>NT_187689.1:0-197351 GCF_000001405.40 Homo sapiens | reverse complement strand
AATTCCTAGAAGTAAATTTGAAGGAGTAGATGTAGAATCTTCAGACTTTCACCGCGTCAGGCCGGGCACGGTGGCTCACGCCTGTAATCCCAGCATTGTGGGAGGCCAATGCCGGTGGATCACTTGAGGTCAGGAGTTTCAGACCAGACCAGACGGTGAAACCCCATCTCTACCAGAAATACAAAAATTAGGCTGGGCACAGTGACTCACGCTGTAATCCCAGCATTTTGGGAGGCCGAGGTGGGAGGATCATGAGGTCAAGAGATTGAGACCATCCTGGCCAACATGGTGAAACCCCGTCTCTACTGAAAATACAAAAATTGGCCTGGCGTGGTGGCACAGGCCTGTACTCCCAGCTACTCAGAAGGCTGAGGCAGGAGAATCCCTTGAACCCGGGAGGCAGAAGTTGCAGTGAGCCTTGAGATCAGGAGTTCAAGACCATCCTGGCCAACGTGGTGAAACCCCGTCTCTACAAAAAATACAAAAAATTAGCTGGGGGTGGTGGCACACGCCTGTAATCCCAGCTACTCAGGAGGCTGAGGCAGGAGAATCGCTTGAACCTGGGAGGTGGAGGTTGCAGTGAGCTGAGATCACACCACTGCACTCCAGCCTCAGTGACAAGAGTGAGACTCCGTCTCAAAAAAACAAAAAGAATTAACTCCCATATATGAGGAAGAACACTTTTTAGGCTGCTGTCAATGAACAAAAGCAAAAACAGGATTTTAAAAAGAGGGAAGGAGAAAAAGAGTAGTATGGGAAGAGTGATTTTTGTTTTTACATTTTTTTAGCCAATAGATAGGCGGGTGGCTGGGCAAGGGCCCCACTAGGCCGTCTGCCCCTGAGCTGGCTGGCGGGGGCTGCGGGAGGCCGCCCTTTCCTTCTGGATTCTCTGGGAAGCCAGGAGAGTTCAGCCGTGCCGTATGCGACTGGGGGGCTCTGTGTGAGGTCTCTCAGGGCCCCTTTCCTTGGCCACAGCCCCTTGTTGAGGGGAGTCCTCAGCACTCCCTCCTCAGAATGGCTCCCAGTAACTACCTCCTGGGGTTGGGACCGAACAGTATCCGTGCCAACACCTAGAAACATCGGAACATCGCAGTCACTTCTGCCATAACTCTTGTTTCAGAAACGCTAATTTGTTCCAACATGATTGACATAGTAGGGTACAATCTGAGGTAAGTGTGATTTTTTCAGTTATTTATGAGCGGTCTCATTTCGGGCCCTGTGCTGGCCACGGAGACGTGGGGGACGGGGCTAGACGGCACCCGCGGTGAAACCTAAGGCAGCGGAAAAGCCAGCACCCTGCGCCCGTTGGCCTGGGCTTCCTCTGGGTCTCGGATGTCGGAGACAATTTTTCACTGGTTCCCCACGTTTCTGCAAGTCTCAGGAGCAGATGCGCCGACGGCCTTTTGCTCTGGACTCTCGTCAAGGACGTGTATATAGTGAAAGTCTCGGCGCGCAGGGACAGCGTCTCCCTCTGGGGCAGAAGCGAGATTTGCTCGCTGTCCAGTGTAACAAAGACGACGTCCACCCCCGGGAAAGGTTGGGCAGGTTTGCTTCGCAGCCCCTCATGACAGTCCGGCGTTTCCTAAGCACGGGGATCCCCGGCGGTGAGGCAAACCCAGCTGTGCCACAGAATCCACCTGGGCCTCTGCGTAGCCCCCGTGGGGTTTGGGGAGCAAAGGAAACGGGAGTGAAGAGGAAGCTCGTTCACACTGAGCAACGTGCCGTGCCGTGAGTGACAGAGTCCTCTGCCCTGGGCCAGGGTCTCTGGTCTTCTGCCAGCGTCCTTCAACCATGGCAGGCTCGCCCGTGAGCTTGCAGGCCGGTGAAAGCTCAGGCCTTCCCAGATCTTCATACGAGGAGGTCTTCTCAGCTCAGTAAGTGGACTGTGAAACGATGGTGTTCGGCCTGGCCCAGGAGGGAGCTGCAGGGGAGGCGAGGCTGGGGCACTGGCACCCGTACTGGCACTGGCACCCGTAGGTCTGTCTGGGGAAAAACCCGGGGCAGGAGGGCAGGAGAGGAAGCGAAGGTTTGCCTGGGTTGGAAACAGCCCCAACAACTCCCTGGCCAAGAGCCGCCTCTTCCCTGAAGAAGGAAGCCTTGGGGGCAGTCCCTGGGGCAACATGAGGAGCGGCCTCCTCCGGGCAAGCATGCGGGCCTTCAGGGGACCTTGGCAGGGCTTCCTGAGGGGCAGGAAGGCGACCGCGAGGCCGAGGCAGGTAGGCAGGGCCTGACCCCGAGGGGAATCTCTGGGGCCAGAGGGAAGCTGGAAGTGTCTGGCCAGGGGCCAAGGGGGCTCCTGCGGAAGCCCCCGGACAAGGACTTTCCCGTTCTGGCTCCCGCTCACCTCTCTCATTCCCCATGAACTCCAGGACCCCCATTTCAAGTAGAAAACAGCCGTCCCGAGAAAATCCCCAAACACGAGAGCCCTCTGCACAGCCCCTCGGCACTTCCCACCCAGCACGCGAGCTGGGGGATGCTGCTCCCAAGCCGCAGGCTCTTCCGTAAGCTCTTCTGGAAACTTTCCTCCTCCCCGAGGCAGCCCCAGCGGCACTTGGACTCCAGCAGTGCCCAAAACCACACAGGGCACCTGGACTCCAGCAGTGCCCAAAACCACACAGGGCACCTGGACTCCAGCAGTGTCCAAAACCACACAGGGCACCTGGACTCCAGCAGTGCCCAAAACCACACAGGGCACCTGGACTCCAGCAGTGCCCAAAACCACACAGGGCACCTGGACTCCAGCAGTGCCCAAAACCACACAGGGCACCTGGACTCCAGCAGTGCCCAAAACCACACAGGGCACCTGGACTCCAGCAGTGCCCAAAACCACACAGGGCACCTGGACTCCAGCAGTGCCCAAAACCACACAGGGCACCTGGACTCCAGCAGTGCCCAAAACCACACAGGGCACCTGGACTCCAGCAGTGCCCAAAACCACACAGGGCACCTGGACTCCAGCAGTGCCCAAAACCACACAGGGCACCTGGACTCCAGCAGTGCCCAAAACCACACAGGGCACCTGGACTCCAGCAGTGCCCAAAACCACACAGGGCACCTGGACTCCAGCAGTGCCCAAAACCACACAGGGCACCTGGACTCCAGCAGTGCCCAAAACCACACAGGGCACCTGGACTCCAGCAGTGTCCAAAACCACACAGTCCCGGGATTTTGATGAGTCAGCACCAACACGTGTCCCAGTGCTCACAGAACTACGCAGGTTGGCGGTTGCACAAGCGCCAAAGGGGCCCTGGCTTCACGGCTTCATTTATTCTTGTTACTACTCCCTGCATGGCTTGGCCTGGGCTGCGTCCACGGCTGCGAGGCTCCTGTCCGCCTCATGGAGGCAGGTGAGGCCAGCGCCACCCAGGCCCTGCTTTTCTGCTTTCTCCACTTGTCTGTGGCCCTCCTGGGCAGAGGAGACCGTAGTCTCAGCATGGGCCTGATGAGGCACAGCTGGGGGCTTCTGGAGCTGCCATCTACCCAGGACAACCGTCTTCCCGTGTCCCTGGGGGCTCTGTGCTCTCCATGGCTCCTTAGTTCAAGGTCTGATCCGCACGCCTGGATCCAACCTCTACATTTGTTCAGCGCTCCCCTCCTGCCCTCCCCACCTCTTCCTGGCCTTCCTACCCTCTGTAGGCATCTGATGAAAGACCATACTTCAGGTCCTGAGAAGGATAAAGTAAGTTATTGGTTTTTAAATGCATAGATCACTTACACAGAAACACAGACTCACGGATAAAAACACCTGAGTTTTAGTTTTGCCTCTTGCTTCTGCAGAGGGCTGGTGGGGAAAGAAGGAGAGGCTCTAATCAAAGAGCAAGAATTTGGGTTTTTTCCTAATACTTTATGCAAAGTACAGTGATCTTGACTCTGACGGCACAGGGGCTGGAGGTGGGGCGTCTTTCCCACACCAGGTTCCTCTGAGAGCCGGGCTTGTGGCTGAATGCCAACATCAAGTTTCTTTGGAGAGCCGCACTCAGGCCCCTGCGCTGGTAGGGTCAGTTGGGTGAGGGCCTGCCTCTTGGCAGAGGGGCCAGAATAACGGAGGGTAGGTGGCCTAATTGTCATCACGTGACCAGGGCTTTGGGGATTGGCTGCTCCTGCGTGTTAAAGGGTGTGACACATTCAAAGACTCTCCAGGCAATAACGGCTTATGAATGTTTTTAAAGCAGTTTTTTTTTTTTAAGTGAATCTTGGCCAGGCGTGGTGGCTCATGCCTGTAATCCCAGCATTTTGGGAGGCCGAGGCGGGTGGATCACTTGAGGTCAGGGGCTTGAGACCAGCCTGGCCAGCATGGTGAAACCCCGTTTCTACTAAAAATACAAAAATTACCTGGGCGTGGTGGCGCACGCCTGTAATCCCAGCTACTCAGGAGGGTGAGGCAGGAGAATCGCTTGAATCCGGGAGGCAGAGAGATCATGCACTCCAGCCTGGGCAACAGAGTGAGACTCTGTCTCAAAAAAAAAAAAAAAAAAAAAAAAGACCAGCCTGGGCAACAAAGTAAGACCCTATCTCTATAAAAAATAAAGTAAGTTTTTTAAAAAGCAGATCTCACATGTAGATGAAGCTAATATAATAGTAACTGTGTTGTATGTAATAAATGCTATGATATAACATCACAATATATTGATTATTAGGTAATATGTATCAATTATTATAATGTAGATATTGGAGCTGACATTTAACTCCTCTCACACTGACAGATTACATCTGGGGTCTGCAGGCTTTAACAACTTGGAAAGTTGGTCTAGTGTCAGAATTTTAAGAAGCCCTCCAATCCCAGACCCCCGTCTTCTTTGCCCTTGTGTGTTATGCTCGGCAGTAGGCTGATGCGACCTCATTGCTTCTGCTTCTCAAAACTGCATTCTCACAGACTTCTCTCCCCATCTCGAAATCACAGGGCTTGAAGAAGTTACCAACTTGCCAACTGCTGCATGAAACACCTTTTACCCGCATGTGAGAATCACCTTTACCCGCATATGAGAAACACCTTCACCTGCATATCAGAAACACCTTTACCCACATATGAGAAACACCTTTACCTGCATGAGAAACACTTTACCCGCATACGAGAAACACCTTTACCCGCATACGAGAAACACCTTTACCCGCATACGAGAAACACCTTTACCCGCATACGAGAAACACCTTTACCTGCATACGAGCAACACCTTTACCCGCATATAAGAAACACCAGCTCACCTGGCCCAGCCACTTTGTGAGGACCCCTGAGACGACAATAGTCTCCTGAGCCCTGTGGCCAGATCCACCCCCTCACCATTCCAGAATGATTCCCTCAGCCAGAATCAGGCATTGCCACCACATCATGTCTATGACCTGGCCCTCCACCCAGAACAACCCCAGACTCTCCTTCCAAATAGTTTGTTTCTCTTTCCATGCCCACATCTGGGGGGCGGTGGCGTGGGGACGCTAACATTTGCTGAGAATCTACGACGTACTAAGCTAATAGGAATTACGTCTACTCTCCCCACTGTGCAGACATGGAGACTGAGGCTCAGCTAGGAAGTGGCTTGCCCACAGTGACTCCAAAGCTCCTGCTCTTTCCCCCAGCACCCACTCTGCCTCCTACAGCTCAACAGTAGCCCCTCTCTCACCCTGCTCCTCCAGCACGAAACCAGGAGTGCCAGGCTAGATGTTGCCCGAAGGCTCGCCCCCTGGGCCTCGCCAGGTCCCGGCAGCTTATGCTGTCCCTGGCACCTTGGGGCCAAAGCCGTCTCCGGACCCTGGAAGCTGAGCTTTCATTTCAGTGACAATGTCCATGCAGGCTTATGACGCATCACCCTCTTGCCCCCTCCTCCAGCTCCAGGAAGTGTGAGTGGGAACTGGGGCCGAGGAGTGAGAACACTCCAGGTGCACCCGAGGAAGCAGTTTCAAGGGGTGTGGCTTGGTGAGAAGTCCCTTTTTCCTCTAAAGGGAGAGTCTGGCATGTGTAGGCTAAAGAGAGTGTCTAGGTCGGGCTCCTGCTCACCTGGAGGGAATGCGGGGGTCACAGGCGGGTGAAGAGCAGGCGGACACACCTTTCTGTGCAATGCTTGAGGTTGAGGTGGGGTACGTTTATTTTTAGATATACTGTCCTGTCTCTCTCCCCTCTCCCACCCTTACCCCTTACCTTCTTCTCTGGTTACAGAAGGAAACAAGGGAATGTGATACCTTCCAGTCAATAGCAGGTCAACCTTTGAGAGAGCAGGGCTGAAACCACTGAGGCAGGTGTGGCCACTGCTGCCTGGGCCCTGCTTTTCTGCCCTCCTGGGCAGGGGAGGGGGTGGTCTCAGCACGGGCCTGATGAGCTACAGCTGAGGGCTCCTGGGGCTGCCATCTGCCTGGCCTCATGATCCAAGAAGTTAGATCGAGGAATAGTCAAGCTGGTCCCTTGGTCATGCCGCCTGGCTCCTGACTCAGTGGTGACAAGAGCCGAGATTTGGGGGATTTCCAGAGCCAGCCCAGGGTGATGTGGGCACACCTGCTGGTCTTCCCAAATAGGTCATCATTCGGCAAGAATCATCTATTGTCATGACCCATACACCTACCCTGCCCCAAATTTTCTTCAAGGAGGTTGTACTGGGGTGAGTACGTGTCCCCCAAAATTCATGTCACTCAGAATGTGACCTTATTTGGAAATAGGGTCTTTGCAGAGGTTATTAGTTAAGTTAAACTGAGGTCATGCCGAATTGAGGCAGAGCCTAATCCAGTGACTGGTGTCCTTATGAGAAGAGGAAACAGAGACACACGCACAGGGGAGAAGATGGCCACACAACACGATGGAGGCAGAGGCTGGAGGGACACGGCTGCCAGCCCGGGAATGCGGAGAATGGCCAGCCACCCCTGGAAACCAGGAGAGAGGCCAGGAGGGCTCCACCCCAGAACCTCCGGAGGGAGTGTGGTTCTGCCCACGCCTTGATTTTGGACTTCTGGGTTCCAAACTGTGAAAGAATAAATTCCTGTTTGTTTGAAGCCACCGAGTTTGTGAGCACTAAGGCAGAGGCCTTCCTGGATGGCCCTCACTGAGGCTTGTCTGTTGCCTGGCACACAGTCATGCCCAGGGCCACAGACCCTGTTGCTAAATGATCCTCTCTCCATGTTTAGATTCCACTAGCTCGTGACCCCGTGAGGGCACATAGGGCCACGTGGTAATGTGTCCGTCGCATTGTCAGGCTGCTCCTCTGCCTGCATTCTGCCTCCCCTGCACACCGGGGAGCAGAGCTCACCAGACCCCTCTTCTGTCCCCTGGCCAGCTTCAGCTGGTGCCTCCTCTCCCCAGGGAGCAAGGGGAACAAGGAACAAGTCTCACTTTCCAGCCTGATGGGCTAATCTCACTGCCTTCTTTCTCTGTTCAAATTTTGTCTGGATCACTTTCTTCAGGACAGTCGCTGGGCTAAGCATAGTGTCCAGTATCAAAATGAGAAGCCTGGCAGTTGGTCCTGGATCATAGCTGGGAGCTCACCCAGGAAAGAGCTGGGATGGGAAGGGGTTCTCCACCTTTTCCCCACCCACCTGCAGAGTCTTTAATCCACCCATCATTTTTAGGCTTCCGGAGTAATTATTCTATTTATTTTATTTTATTATTTCAAGACGGAGTTTCGCTCTTGTTGCCCAGGCTGGAGTGCAGTGGTGTGATCTCAGCTCACTGCAACCTCCGCCTCCCAGGTTCAAGTGATTCTCCTCCCTCAGCCTCCCAGGTAGCTGGGACTACAGGTGCACACCACCAACATTTCTACTAAGTTTGTATTTTTAGTAGAGATGGGGTTTCTCCATGTTTGTCAGGCTGGTCTTGAACTCCCGACCTCAGGTGATCTGCCCGCCTCGGCCTCCCAAAGTGCTGGGATTACAGGCGTGAGCCACAGCGCCCGGCCCCATTGTCAGCTCTGCTTCCGCCATTAGACCATCAACATTAAAAGGGTTAATTGATCACAAGTGTCCAAAAAAGTGCCGACATCCTGGACAGAGCAAGCTCATGTTTATGGACTTCTGACTGTAGAAGGAGGGTCAGAGCCGCCGATCAGAACACACCAGCTCTGCTTCCAGGTTCAGGAAATGATCCTGAACACAGAAGGCACTTTGGGTACAAAGCCTCTGATCCGGGCATTACCTGTAACAGGGACGCCGTGAATAACCCAGTGTCCAAGTTAGTTCAGTTATGGTGGCAGCCAATGCAGTATCACGTGGCCTTCAGAAATGTGTGAATGGAGTTTTATAATAATTGGGGAGACTTTTAGGTTTAAAGCTAGGTCATGGCCCGGCGCAGTGGCTCACGCCTGTAATCCCAGCACTTTGGGAGGCTGAGGCGGGCGGATCACAAGGTCAGGAGTTTGGGACCAGCCTGACCAACATGGTGAAACCCCGTCTCTACTGAAAATACAAAAATTAGCCAGGCATGGGGGCACGAGCCTATAATCCCAGCTACTCGGGAGGCTGAGGCAGGAGAATGGCGTGAACCCAGGAGGCGGAGGTTGCAGTGAGCCAAGATCGCACCACTGCACTCCAGCCTGGGTGACAGAGCGAGACTCTGTCTCAAAATAAATAAATAAATAATAAAAATGAATAAATAAATAAATAAATAAAGTTAGGTGGTAAAGAGGAGATCAAACTATATCTAGGATATGATAGATTTAAACTATGGATATGAGCTATGTATGAGAAACAAGCCAGAAATCTCTCAACGCGTTAATAGGGTTGTTCCTGGGTGGTGAAACATTGATGATGTTTTTCTTCTCTCTACTTTTAAATATTTTCATATCTCTGTGGACAGTGTGCATTACTTTATAATGAAAAAAGAAACCCAGTAAACTTCATTTTAAAAGATGGCTTTCGGCCCGGGTTGGGCTTTCTGTCAGAACCCCGCGTTGGAGAGCTTTGTGGGCCCACCCTCATTCAGTCCCCATGGTGGCCGCATGTACGTGTCCCCTGTGGCAGACGTTCCGCCTGGGAGCAGCGGTCTAACTGGGAGCCAGGAGTGTGCAAAGACAACCGAACAGACGTGGACGCTCGGCAGCAAGACAGAGAGGGCGCTGGAAACCCGGGCTCCGGGACACACCCTGCCGCTCACCGGCTGCGCCAACAAGGACCTCCCTTCTCTCTGGGCCCACACCTCCTCCACGGTAGAATGAGGGCTTCGGATGACATGGTCACCAGGGTCTCTTCCAGTTTTAAAATTATGTTAAGATCCTCTTATTCTTTCAAGCTTTACAAAGGGAAGCCCCACAAAAGGACACAGGTGGCAAATCCGGGGACCTGGATGCTGGGTCACCGACTTCATGTTCTTGCTGACTTCCTGGCCTCGGTTTTCTTCTCCTTAAGGCTGGGTGAATGGAATGAGTTTAGATCCCTGGACCTCCAGGCCCTCCTGTGCCCCGGGGTGGCCCTGCTTCACAGGGATGCCCGTAAGAAGACGTTGCATGCGTAAAAATCATGCCCTGCTCCACCACAGAGGTGAGATGAGACAGGAAATGAGCTAATTGGCGTGAGAATGCTTGGCACTTTTAGGGAAAGGAGAAACCGAATCCCAAGAGAATGACAGTGGCCTTTGTGTGACCCTAGTACCAGGGCCCCTGCTTTCGCCATGGCCTCAGATAGAGGCCACATACAGCAGGTGCTGGGCCCCCAGCCCACCCACCTCCCTGCTTTCACCATGGCCTCGGATAGAGACCACATACAGCAGGTGCCGGGGCCTCCAGCCCGCCCGCCTCCCTGCTGAACCATGGAATAAGGAGCTGCAGAGGAGGAAAGATTTTGGAGTCGTGCTGACCTGGGTCTGAATCCCAGCTCGGAGGGCCTGCTGCCACATCTGTACGTGGGCATCCTCTTTTACGTGAGTGTCTCGGGTCGGGTCCTCCCAGAAGCAAATGCTGAGTTGGTGGAAGGAATGTGAAGGCTATAGGGGAGTGGCACCTGCTTAAGGAGAAGGAGGCCGGGCTGGGCAGGAGGATGTGGCACCTGGTAAGGAGAAGGAGGCCGGGCCGGGCAGGAGGATGTGGCACCTGTGTAAGGAGAACGAGGCCGGGCCGGGCAGGAGGATGTGGCACCTGGTAAGAAGAAGGAGGCTGGGCCGGGCAGGAGGATGTGGCACCTGGTAAGGAGAAGGAGGCCGGGCTGGGCAGGAGGATGTGGCACCTTGTAAGGAGAAGGAGGCCGGGCCGGGCAGGAGGAAGTGGCATCTGTGTAAGGAGAAGGAGGCCAGGCCGGGCAGGAGGATGTGGCACCTGCGTAAGGAGAAGGAGGCCGGGCTGGGCAGGAGGATGTGGCACCTGGTAAGGAGAAGGAGGCCGGGCTGGGCAGGAGGATGTGGTACCTGGTAAGGAGAAGGAGGCCGGGCAGGAGGATGTGGCACCTGCATAAGGAGAAGGAGGCCGGGCCGGGCAGGAGGATGTGGCACCTGGTAAGGAGAAGGAGGCCGGGCAGGAGGATGTGGCACCCGGTAAGGAGAAGGAGGCCGGGCCGGGCAGAAGGATGTGGCACCTGGTAAGGAGAAGGAGGCCGGGCCGGGCAGGAGGATGTGGCATCTGTGTAAGGAGAAGGAGGCCGGGCCGGGCAGGAGGATGTGGCACCTGCGTAAGGAGAAGGAGGCCGGGCTGGGCAGGAGGATGTGGCACCTGGTAAGGAGAAGGAGGCCGGGCTGGGCAGGAGGATGTGGCACCTGGTAAGGAGAAGGAGGCCGGGCAGGAGGATGTGGCACCTGCGTAAGGAGAAGGAGGCCGGGCCGGGCAGGAGGATGTGGCACCTGGTAAGGAGAAGGGCGGAGGCCAGGCTGAGCAGGAGGATGTGGCACCTGGTAAGGAGAAGGGCGGAGGCCAGGCTGGGCAGGAGGATGTGGCACCTCGTAAGGAGAAGGGCGGAGGCCAGGCTGGGCAGGAGGATGTGGCACCTCGTAAGGAGAAGGGCGGAGGCCAGGCTGGGCAGGAGGATGTGGCACCTGGTAAGGAGAACGGCGGAGGCCAGGCTGAGCAGGAGGATGTGGCACCTTGTAAGGAGAAGGGCGGAGGCCAGGCTGAGCAGGAGGATGTGGCACCTGGTAAGGAGAAGGGCGGAGGCCAGGCTGGGCGGAGGATGTGGCACCTGGTAAGGAGAAGGAGGCCGGGCCGGGCAGGAGGATGTGGCATCTGCGTAAGGAGAAGGGCGGAGGCCGGGCTGAGCAGGAGGATGTGGCACCTGTGTAAGGAAAAGGAGGCCGGGCTGGGCAGGAGGATGTGGCACCTGTGTAAGGAGAAGGAGGCCGGGCTGGGCAGGAGGATGTGGCACCTGCGTAAGGAGAAGGAGGCCGGGCTGGGCAGGAGGATGTGGCACCTGCGTAAGGAGAAGGAGGCCGGGCTGGGCAGGAGGATGTGGCACCTGCGTAAGGAGAAGGAGGCCGGGCTGGGCAGGAGGATGTGGCACCTGCGTAAGGAGAAGGAGGCCGGGCTGGGCAGGAGGATGTGGCACCTGCGTAAGGAGAAGGAGGCCGGGCTGGGCAGGAGGATGTGGCACCTGCGTAGGGAGAAGGAGGCCGGGCTGGGCAGGAGGATGTGGCACCTGCGTAAGGAGAAGGAGGCCGGGCTGGGCAGGAGGATGTGGCACCTGCGTAAGGAGAAGGAGGCCGGGCTGGGCAGGAGGATGTGGCACCTGCGTAAGGAGAAGGAGGCCGGGCTGGGCAGGAGGATGTGGCACCTGCGTAAGGAGAAGGAGGCCGGGCTGGGCAGGAGGATGTGGCACCTGTGTAAGAAGAAGGAGGCCGGGCTGGGCAGGAGGATGTGGCACAGCTGACACAGCCACAAAGCTCCTGCCCATGGGGCGCTCTGAGGGGCAGACTGCCTGTTGGCGGAGTCTTGTGGGGTGGAAATGGTGAGGTCACTGTGATGCCACTTTGCTTAGTCATCGGCCACAGGGTCACCTGGAGAAGAGCATGAGCTCAGCATAAAAGCAAGGCCCACCCTGCAGGGGCCAGCAGCTGGGAGCTGTCCACTAACCACTATCCTTGCAGCTGGACAGCGAGGCCCCTCCAAAAGGCCGTCTCCACCTGCCACCGGGAAAGGACCCGGAGCGAAGGATGTCGTGGGCGGTCAGCCCAGGTGATTGCCCTTCTTTTGCTTTGGAGCCAGGCAGAACAGAGCTCAAATTCCAGCTTTGGGACAGTGTGTGGCCCAGAAGGCTGTAACTGCGGAGTTAACACTCTCCAGTTTCCCTAGATGGCCCGACCTGGCCGGTGACTCGGGGATGATGAAGCTCCTGGAGCCTCAGCGTGCTCACTTGAGAGGTAGGGCAGCGCTTTGTACTTCACAGGGCCATGGGGACAGGCTCAGGGCCTGGCACTCTAGTGACCGGCTTCATGCTGGGTCACTGACTAGGGAATCCACACACCTTTTTAGTCCAGACTGAGTAGGTAAATCAGACTTAATAAACATCCAGCTTCCTGCTCGAGATCAGCCTAGTTGTCCTAAGTCTGACAAGATTGAACTTTATTCACAGCACGAGGCATAAATGATATAAAGGTAAGCAATTTTAGGGGACCCAAAAAACTAGGGACTCCTACTTGGGTAGCTTAGAAGGGGAATCTCTCTTGGAGATCCTGGCTTTGCTGCCTCAAACCCAGCTGTCTCTTCAAGCCAAGTCTGGGAGAATCTCATGATCTTATCCTTGCTCCAATTTACTTACACCCCACATCCACACTAAGCTCTTCCTGCCTCCCGTGGAATATTAACTTACACCTGACTTCAGACTCCTGCCCCTATGCAGACCCAGCAGTATGCGGGCCTAGGAGGTTTTTCGGCCACAAGGAACTAGAGAAGCCACTCATTTTGTCCCCTCTCATTCACCCCATTCTGTCCCCATCGGATGCCTTGGGAGGAGAGAAGGAAGGACAAATGGGTGTCCCGTGACCCAACCCAGATGAAGACAGAGCCATTTATCACAGAGACCCAGACACATCCTAACTCTGGAAAATGGGCATATTGAGGGGAGCTGGAAAGCAGAAGGGAAACGGGCGTGGGCAGGGAAGAGGTGAACAGGAGTGCGCACGCCCAGTTCTCCAGGATCTCACGCTCCTAATCAGGATCCTATAAGACTCAAAGGGGACGCAGGAAAGACCTGGGCCTGGAAATTCACTTCCGGACTCCTCCTGTATCCTGGCTGGCCCTCGTTTGTGTCTCCCTCCAGGGATGATGCCCGGATGGAAGGAGGAGCCACGTTCCTCCACAGGTGTCCTCCACAACAGGTGTCCTCACAACAGGTGTCGTAACAACAGGTGTCCTCACAACAGGTGTCCTAATACTCCCGCAGCCCCTCAGCATCTACAGGCTCACTCCCACCCTACAACCTTTCAGATAGGTGTTATCCCCATTTTACAGGTGAACGAGGAAAACAGCTCGAAGAGGCTGTGACTTTGTGGTGACGCGGTGGCAGAGCTGGGATCAAGCCCAGGTTTGTAACGCCCTCCTGGAGTCTCGGCCGTCACAGCAGCTTCCGGAGAGCGCTGTGTGCCTCTGGCCTTCCTGGCATGGGAAAGAGGTCAGCTACCTGTGTTCGGTCAACAAGATGTCCAGCGCTTAGTTTGGTCTCACCTGGATGCTCCTTTCTCCTCTAGAGATGGAAAACTGTTGTCCTGAAAGCGTCACCAAACAAAACCTGTGGAAAGGTAATGGGGGGACCCACGAGCAAGAGCTGACAGAAAAATGACCACGGGCCGGGTGCAGTGGCTCACGCCTGTAATCCCAGCACTTTGGGAGGCCAAGGCGGGCGGATCATCTGAGTTCAGGGGTTCGAGACCAACCTGGCCAACATGGTGAAACCTCGTCCCTACTAAAAATACAAAAAAAATTAGCCGGGCGTGGTGGCAGGTGCCTGTAGTCCCAGCTACTAGGGAGGCTGAGGCAGGGGAATGGCGTGAACCCGGGAGGCGGAGCTTGCAGTGAGCTGAGATGGTGCCACTGCACTCCAGCCTGGGCGACAGAGCAAGACTCCATCTCAAAAAAAAAAAAAAGTGCAAAATGATCACGAAGGCCAAGCTGGGCCTTGGTGTCTGCGAATTCCCTGCAGTAGGTCCCTCCTGCTGCCCCGTCCAGGCGCCCACAGGATGCTCCACATGACTCTTTACCTTTATGATTTTCTTACCTCCAGGAAAGAACAGGGTCAGCTCGTCCACCCAGAGCTGGAGGGACTGTTGGGGGACCACGCCACTTCCCCACGGTATCCGCATTATTATGGCGTGGCCCAGGCTTTGGCCTGGGGCCATGAACAGACTTTCAGCTTCTAGAAGCAAGTGGTCACAGGGCCTCCGTGACCCTCGGAGACAGCGCCACAGCGTCGGTTGCCTACTCCTTGCTGGACAAGGCTGGCTCTGCTTGGGAATGCAGAAACCCTGAGTCCTTGTCCTGGGCCCCACAGTGTCTGAGCATCGAAGGTCCCTGCTCTGGGACGAGTCACCCCACAGACACCCCACATTCGGGAATCAAGTCTTGAGGAATCAGAAGCAGAGATTCACACTGTGGCAAAGAGGGGAGCGGAGGTATCCCCGTTTTCCTTTGCAGAGAGCTACACCAACTGCCCTCTTCGTCTTTACAACCCTACTTGGGGTCCCTTTCCCTCCTCGCTTGTGCCTGTGAGTTCCAAGAGGTGGAACTGGGGTGAGCAGAGCCCCCAGGTCTCCAGGAGCAGCTCCACCTCCTCACAGGTTACAGTCGCTTCCTCCTACCGAGGTTCTGCCTTCAACCCACTGCCCATGCCAGCTCCCTCAGGCCAGTCTCCCAGACTGTCCCTGGCTCCCTGCACCCTGGCTCCAGCTCCCTGCCCTGGAAAGAAGAAGTCCACCATCTGGTGAGGGTCTGCCACGCATCTGGGGTCTGCCATGCGTCTGCACTGAGGTTCTGCCACGAGTCTGCACTGAGGTTCTGCCATGCGTCTGGAGTCTGCCACGCGTCTGGGGTCTGCCACGCGTCTGGAGTCTGCCATGGGTCTGGGGTCTGCCATGTGTCTGGGATCTGCCGTGCGTCTGGGGTCTGCCACGCATCTGCACTGAGGTTCTGCCACGCGTCTGGGGTCTGCCACGCGTCTGGGGTCTGCCACGCGTCTGGGGTCTGCCACGCGCCTGCACTGAGCAGATATTCCAAGCACACCACCCCTTTCCAAAAGACGGCATACAGTGCATTTCTGTTCCTGCCCCTCACCCACATGGTTCCCCGCTTCCCAATTCCTTGGGGTCTGCTTAAGTCTCACTCTCTTTCCCCCATTCATACAGCCCCAAGGTCGCTCCCTCTGGGGCCCTTTCTTCCCCATTCTTCCCAGCAGCCCAAAGCTCTGGTGGGACAGGGGCAGCCCCTGGGGAGGGAGGAGAGGACCCAGGAACCCGGCTAGGAGGGTGGCCCACCCATTTCCAGTGTGACCTGTTCCCATTCCCCCATGTCTCCTCCCATCCCTCCCGCCACTCAGCTCAGGCTGATGAGAAGCAGAGCAACGGGTGTATCGGTGTTTTCTTTCCTGGTGGGGTAGTGGGGTGGGGCTGAGGAGAGAAAAGGGTGATTAGCGTGGGGCCCCGCCCTCTTTTGTCCTCTTCCCAGGTTCCCTGGCCCCTTCGGAGAAACGCACTTGGTTCGGGCCAGCCGCCTGAGGGGACGGGCTCACGTCTGCTCCTCACACTGCAGCTGCTGGGCCGTGGAGCTTCCCCAGGGAGCCAGGGGGACTTTTGCCGCAGCCATGAAGGGGGCACGCTGGAGGAGGGTCCCCTGGGTGTCCCTGAGCTGCCTGTGTCTCTGCCTCCTTCCGCATGTGGTCCCAGGTAAGTGATGGAGACAGCAGATGAGGCTGGCTGCGGGGAGCACTTGGGGGAGGTGGGAGCTGTCAGAGAAAGAGGTCCGGGGAGACAGAGAGAGAGAGAGAGAGAATAGGGGAAAGGGAGACAGCGAAGAGGAAGAGAAGGGAGAGAAAAAGAGGGAGAGGGAAAGGAGAAAGAGATGAATGGGACAACATGGGGGGAAGGTGGAGAGAGACCCAGAGAGGGAAAGAAGAGGAAGAGAAGAGGGAGAGAGAAAGAAGAGTGGAGGCCGTGCGCGGTGGCTCATGCCTGTAATCCCAGCACTTTCGGAGGCCAAGGCAGGAGATCACCTGAGGTCAGGAGTTCGAGACCAGCCTGGCCGACATGGTGAAACCCCGTCTCTACTAAATATACAAAAATTAGCCGGTCGTGGTGGGCCCCACCTGTAATTCCAGCTACTCAGGAGTCTGAGGCAGGAGAATCACTTGAACCTGGGAGGTGGAGGTTGCAGTGAGCCAAGATCGCGCCACTGCACTCCAGCCTGGGAGAGAGAGCGAGACTCTGTCTCAAAATAAATAAATAAATAAATAAATAAATAAATAAATAAATAAATATAAAATAAAATAAAAAATAAGAAGAGGAGAAAAGTGGGGAAGAGGAGGCATGAACTGGCAGATACGGGACAAGATCTGAGGGGAAAGACAGAGGGAGAATGCTCGAAAGAGAGAGAAAAGAGAACAGAGGGCCAGAGAGCAGCCCGGCGATGTCTGGAAGGATCCATGGTGAGAGCCCAGGCTTACTCGCAGAGAGAAAGACAGGCAGAGCCAGAGCAAGAGGAACAGAGTCAAGGAGAAAGATGTACACCCTTGTGTACAGAGCTGGGGGTAGAGGGGATGCCAGGAAAGCTGGGTGATGGAGACGGAAGAAAACTCATGTAAAGCTGCAGGGTGAGAGGACGAGACAGGTGAGACGCAGACAAACTGAGGACCCTGGGAATGGAGAGAGGAGAAGATCGGGAGACAGCAGCAAGCAAGGGAAGCGACAAGGAGGAGAGGGGCAGGCCGGCCGGGAGGGTGGTGCGGAGGAGGCGGCCAGGGCGCAGAGGGCCGGGAGGTGCTGGCCGTGGGCTTCTTACCTCTGAGCTCGGGTTTAAAAGCCTCCATTTGGGTCACGGCCTTGCCTGGGGCTCGTAGCCCCGGCATTGGCCTTGGGCTCCTCCGTGTACAGAGCTGGGAGGGGAGGGATGCCAGGCCTGTGGGAGATGTTCCCTCGGGGGCCCCCGTCCTCTTCCCCACACTTTCCAGGCTGTCCCTCTGGCTTCAGGACCAAGTTTTATTCTGTGTTTCTGGGTGTCTGAGTCTTTGGGGGAGAGTCTGGGGTCCAGAGTTCAAGCTGGGGTTAGAGTCTCAGCTCCTGCCCTGCCTCTCAGCAGGCTAAGAACAGTCGCCGAGGGAAAATATTTCTTGGGCGCATATTTGAGGAGCTTCCTGGGAGTGAGTCAGAAGGCGAGTGCCGTTTAAAGGCTGCAAGAGAAGCCATGCTGGTGAAGCGGACCCTTCCACCTCGGGATGTTTCAGGACTAGGCTGAGGGCAAAGGAAACTGCCACCACCTCCCTACACCTCCCCACCCTCCAGCACCCCCACCCCACCCTGGCCACACAACCCCGCTCCAGTGCTCATCCCACCGTGAGGACGTGGAGGCCGGAAGGAGCCGCCACACGGCCCTGCCCTGCAGATGTGGTTGAAGGAGTCTCCACGGGAATCATGACTCCCAGAGCGAGGCTGGGGCTTGGGGCGCCGGGGAGGCAGCTTGGATTTAGGAGCCCCAGGGCCAAGTCTTTGCCGTGAACTGTTCTGGCCCCTGTGACCAGGCCCTGCCCCGTGTCTCCCCAGGGCCCCGGTCCCCTGTGTAAAAAGCAGTGGTGAACGGTTGGACCTCCTGACGCCCAAGTTCTTGAGTTTCCAAATCTGTGATTTAAAGCTGAGCCCAAATGTGCTGGGTACCAGCTGGACACTCAGCTCCATGTGGAGCCAGGAAGTGGGGTCTGTGGAGAGGAGCGCAGAGGGGCAAGACCTGGGGTGGGCGTGGAAAAGCACGGGGGCGTGACCCGGAGAAGGAGTGAAGGACTGTTGGTGTGCAAGGGCGTCTCCATGACGACCCGAAGAAGCTAGGCATGTCGTGGAGCGCTGAGTCCTTTGCGTCGCTAAGGGGACCAAGTGGAGCTGGGCCAGGAGAGGAGATGGTCGTGGCTGGGAGATGGCACCCACACATCTGACCGGGCATGACCAGGGCCTTGGCAGGAAAAGCAGTCACCAAGGGCGGGTGGGCAGCCCCCACCCCCACAGGGCAGCTGCTGGAGGACTGGCAGCCAGCCAGCCCCGTTCCTTTTGGCTCCCTGAAGGGGTTTACAGATGACCTGCCTATACTTGAGTCTAGGGTCTGTTTGCACACTTGCCGGCAGGACCCTCACCCAGGCTGGGTCACACTGAAGCCCAGGCCAGAGGAAAAACACAGGGTTTCCACAAAGGAGCTGCCGCAATGAGGGTTTCCTTAAGGAACAGCCCTGGCTCTCAAGGGTTAAAGGATAAGGCACAGCAGACAGAGGTGGGCTAGACAAGGACAGATGGAAATTTGGTGTCTACTGGTCGCCCCAGGCAGGAATGACTCAGAAGGAAGCCTGGCCGTCCTGGTTCCATGCCACAGGGAAAGGCAACTGGGTCGAAATAGGCCTTGGTCTCCAGCACTATCAGTGACCCCAGGGAGGTGACAGGCTGGAGCAAGTGCAGGGCAGGCAGGGGAGGGGACGCCGGCCACAGCGCACTCCACGGGGAAGGGTCTTTATGGGCCCCTCCTCGGAGAACCCCCGGTCTATCTGTCAGTCTGGGACAGGCCACCTCAACTTGCCACCGAGGACACCAAAACTCTCCACAGACCCCTCTGCCCCTCTGGGAAACCCCACTGTGCTCCAGGACACTCAAAAGGAAAGGATCCCTGGACAAGAGGTCCTGCCAGGAACATCAGCCAAATTTTGGCCAACGACCAGCAAGGTGCACAGGGAAGAGCAGGGGCTGAAACTCAGAGGTCCAGCATCAGCGACGCCCTTGGCAGCCCAGGGAACACAGGCAACGCCTTTTGGCTCTGGAGTCTTAGGCTCTTCATCGGCAAACTGAGCCCAGGGGGAAGGGGCTACTACGTAGGGTTGTCATGAGGATGAAACGAGACAGCATCTGGTGTAAAGTAGAAAAGGCATAAAGGGCCGGGCGCGGTGGCTCACGCTGTAATCCCAGCACTTTTGGAGGCCCAGGCGGGTGGATCACCTGAGGTCAGGAGTTCAAGACCAGCTTGGCCAACCCTGTCTCCACTAAAAATAAAAAATTTTGCCGGGCGTGGTGGCGAGCGCCTGTAATTCCAGCTACTCGGGAGGCTGAGGTAGGAGAATGGCTTGAACCTGGGAGGCAGAGGTTGCAGGGAGCCGAAATGGCAGCACTCTAGCTTGGGTGACAGAGCAAGACTCTGTCTAAAAAAAAAAGAAAAGCCATAAAGACGTGTTTGAGAAAGAGGCCTGGGAAGACGGGGGAAGGAGGGTGATTGAACCCGGAATGGCACTTGTGTCGGCCCAGGGTCATATCCCTTCATCTAAGGATCCTCGTGCCTCTAAAAAGCCACCCCGTGCTTCCTGTGGGTTTGCAAGGGCTGGCTTGGTGTATTCAGAATGTGGCTTGCTGCATGAACGGACCCCGAGGGCCATGGCCCTAGAGCAGGGGCTCGCTCCAGCGGACAGCTCTGCCTCACCGCTCCCTGCCTGTGAGTCCCGCCACGCCCTTGGTTTCTGGGCTCAGCCGTGGAGGCAGAGGCTGGCCTGGCAGAGGCTGGCCTGGCAGTGCTTGACACGCAAGTGATTTGTGTCTTCATTGCTAAGGACAAGAGGCAATGAGAGGACAAGAAGTGGTTGGCCTTTTGTACGCTCAACGGGTGGTTTTGCTACTCTGTGTCTTTTCTCTGATTTCACGGTGCTGTTAAGTGCTTAAAATATGCACATCGTGTAGCTCACAGAGCCACTTCTCTGAAGGCCAGGACAGAGACCTTATAGGCTCTCTCTCCCCCTAGTTTCAGCCTTTTACCTTAAATATACGTCTTTCTTACTGCTAGGCTGAGTTCCCGCCCCAGCATGTTCTGAGAAATTGAGTCAAAATAACTGAGTCTGTTGGCACCTCATCGACGATTTCTTCATAGACGGTTTTTTTATTGTTGCTGTTGTTGTTGGTTTTTTGGGTTTGTTTGTTTGTTTTTTGAGACAGAGTTTCTCTCTGTCCCCCAGGCTGCAGTGCAGTGGCGTGGTCTCAGCTCAGTGCAGCCTCTGCCTCCCGGGTTCAAGAGATTCTCCTGCCTCAGCCTCCCGAGTAGCTGGGATTATAGACGCCCAACACCACAGCGGCTAATGTTTGTATTTTTAGTAGAGATGGGGTTTCACCATGTTGGCCAGGCTGGTCTCGAACTCCTGACCTCAGGTGATCCGCTCGCCTCGGCTCCCAAAGTGCTGGGATTATAGGCGTGAGCTACTGTGCCTGGCCCTACTTCATAGAGGTTTAAATGCCTTTTCACCCTTTTCCTGGAGACTCTGAAGAAGTCTCAGGAACTGGGCATTTGTGTTGCACGTGAGGCCTTGCAATGGCGGCCCTGCTTGGAGGAAGGGCACTGGCCTGGGTTGCCCGCAGCTCCACTCCCCGTGTATGTGTTTAGGGACCACAGAGGACAGACATCGACTCTCTGTAGAGATGCCGCCCCGCCCAGGTTGCAGTTTAGGTTCCAAAAGTCCAGTGGCCAGTGGATTTTGGGGGAATTTGGAATAAGAAACAGCCTAGACTTTGGAGTTGTTCATTCACTTGCAGAATTTCTACTCATGCCAGCTGCTCTGGACAGGAAGATGAATGCGTCACAGTTCCTGCTTTTCAAAGCTCTCTAAGTTAAGTGACTTGTTTAAGATCATAGAACCCATAAGTGAGGCAGCTGGGACTAGAACCCAGGTCTCCTGACTCACTGCAGCACACAGCCTTTCGGCAATCTCCAAACCAGCCCAGCCCACCGACGGAGGGAAGAACAGAAGCATTCACACACCCTGCTGAGACAGCCATTCATTCATTCATTTGTTAATTAAACCACCATTTAGGAAACGCCTGCCTTAAGTTCCTGACATTGTTCTAGGACACAGCACTGGATGCACACAGTGAAGAGTGAAACAGACGTGGCCCAGTCTCTTGGCACTAAAATCTTGGTGCAGACAGACATCAAATAATTACGGAAATGTTCTCAACTGCACATGTGGTAAATGCAGTGTGGAAAAGTACAGGGTGTGCTGAGAGCTGCATTTCGAATGGCCAGAGAGTAGGGGAGGTGCATCTGACTGACAAGTCAGGAAGGGCCCTGTGAGGAACCGTTCTGCGGGGAGCTGAGGCCTGAGGCTGAGGACAGCCAGGTGGAGAAGGTGCCAGGCCTGAGCAGGCAGAGGCGGAGCTCATGGAGAGGCAGGAAAGAGCTTGGCCCCTTGGAGGACTTGAAAGAGAAGGCAGGTGTTAGATCGCGCAGGGCTTTGCAAGCTGTGGAATAGATTATGAATTTTATGTTATTTTATTTATTTATATTTTTGAGACAGAGTCTCACTGTGTCACCCAGGCTGAAGTGCTGTGGCGTTATCTCGGCTCACTGCAACCTCTGCCTCCAGGGTTCAAGGGATTCTCGTGCCTCAGCCCCCCGAGTAGCTGGGATCACAGGCACATGCCACCATGCTCTGCTGATTTTTGTATTTTTAGTAGAAATGGGGTTTTGCCATGTTGGTCAGGCTAGTCTCGAACTCCTGACCTCAAGTGATCTGCTTACCTTGGCCTCCCAAAGTGCTGGGATTACCAGTGTGAGCCACTGCGCCCGGCCCAGATTATGGATTTTGAGTAATTGAAATGACAGACAAGGCCAGGCACAGTGACTCATGGCTGTCATCCCAGCACTCTGGGAAGCTGAAGCGGGCAGATCACTTGAGGTCAGGAGTTTGAGACCAGACTGGCCAACATGGCAAAACCCCGTCTCTACTAAAAATACAAAAATTAGCAGGAGATGGTGGTGGGCACCTGTAATCCCAGCTACTCAGGAGGCTGAGGCAGGAGAAGCACTTGATTCCAACTGGGATCACAGGCACACACCACCACACCAGGACAGCCCGAGGCTAACCACTGTGGAGAGGCAGCCAGGCTCCTGAGGACAGCGCTAGGCTAGGAGGATGTGCCTGCCCCAGTGGGAGCCAGGAGAGATGGGTGGCAACACCAAGATGGTGGAGACTGGAGATGGCACCTCCGAGAAGGAGGCGTTGGGGAAAAGAGAGTTGAGCTGGCCGGCGTGCTGTGCTCACAGCCGGATTTTGGTGCTTCTTGGTTTGGTGCTGGAGCTTCTGTGGCGATCACCAGAGTGGCTGGGTGCTGCCACACCAGATGCTGACAGAAATGAGGTCAAATGACCGGTGGTGGGATCCATGGGTTGGGGTGTGACTTCGGCGGGGATCGTTGGAAAGAACGGGTAAAGTTCTCGCCTTGGAGTCCACTGTGAAGGGACTTGAACCTGGGAGGTGGAGGTTACAGTGAGCTGAGATCGCACCACTGCACTCCTGCCTGGGCGACAGAGCGAGACTCCATCTCAAAAAAAAAAAAGATAAAGATAAAGAAACAGGCAACGTCACCCTCTCTCCAGCCTCGGCTGAAGGCAACAAAGGCCACAGGGCCTGGGATGTATTCCACAGATGTGTACGAAGTCACTGCTGTATGCCAAGTCTCGTTTCAGGCGCTGGAGATCACAAGAGGTCTGTTATTCCAAGGGTATCTTGAGTTAGTGTCTTTCCTCATCTTGAATTCTAGGGAAGTACCCAGTGGACACAACCCTGGTCACAGTTGATTCTGGGCTGATACACAAATAGCATTAGCTCCCTGCCAAAGGCGGTGGGGCCAGCGGTTCAGCGTCTGCGCGCCTTCCGGGCCGCCTGCTGCCTGTGTGGGGCTGAATGTTCTCCTCAAGGCCATCCTTACCGTTGGGCACTTCCCTTGGGCTTACACTGCCCTGCCCGAGGCAGCCTGGCAAGGGGCCCCACCCGTCAGGAAGTAATTCCCCTCCAGGAAAGTGAAACACTGTGGCGATACGGCTTACGGGTTCCTCACCTCCAGTTCCAGGAAAAACCCAAGACAAACAGACCAGATGCTAGGAATAAGCCTCAACCCACAGCACTTAGAAAGCCGCAGGCTTTGTGTGTCTTCAGGGAGTGGCTTCACCCTTCTTGGAATCTGTCTTCTGCCAGCGTCACTCATACTGCTGCCACTCCTTCTCCCGAGCCAACAGCACACCTGTCACCTCGGCACACCTGTGGAGTCACCAGAGGGGCCATCTGGGGAAAACGATGCCTACTGCCACTCGGCCTTCACATCCTGGAGCCCTAACAGACGTGAGGCAGCTGTGGGCCGTCTCCCACCTGACGTGGTTCAAGGAGAGAAAAGAACTACCTTGATGGGAGATCTCTGGCTGACGTGATGGCAGAGGCTTGACAGAGCCTTCAAGGACTCAGATGTGGGGAACGTCTCTACCTCAGTGCCAACGCCAGTGCCCTCCTCGTCCCTGGATGGAGACTCTTCCTCTGAGAGAATGTCTTAAAAACTATCCGTTTTACTCAATGACACACGTGTGTCTTCTCACAGTGATCTTGTCACCTTAAGGTGTCAACAGCCTTCACACTCACTCTAACATCATCCCAGAAAAGAGACACCAGGAACATTGCAAAAACACCCCAGTGTCACAGCGTCCACCCCGAGAATGTGCCTGGCTCGGCCTCAGGCTCAGAGCCCTCTGCATGTGGCAGTCCAAGAACTTGGGGCAGGTCAGTGACCATTTCTCCATCTTTGCCTCAGCTCTCCATCCACTCGGTGGCAGTCCCAGAGCTGAGCAGCTCGCAGCTTCCGAGCAATGGCTCTTACCCCGAGCCCCCGGCCCTGCT
Source organism: Homo sapiens (assembly GCF_000001405.40). Lineage (NCBI taxonomy): Eukaryota > Metazoa > Chordata > Mammalia > Primates > Hominidae > Homo > Homo sapiens. The sequence continues at coordinate 173,597 of NT_187689.1, read as the reverse complement.
ACTTCCAAGGCATATAATATCACTCGGTCTCTTCAAATCTCAATTTCCCTGCCTGTGAAATGGGGCCGCTGAATCTCGATTTCCCCGCCTGTGAAATGGGGCCGCTATTAACAAGATAAGCTATAAAGCACCACATGAACATGAGCTGTGAACATTTGTATTATTCATAGAGTCATAACGTGCCTACGAGAGAAGTAAAAAGAAGCCCCACCTCCCTGGTGTGTTCATCACAAGTCAGCTGACCCTCAGTCACTCGACCCAGCGCAGATGCGGAGGCTCTCGCTGCTTGCAGAGAGTTTATATTATATTAAACGGATAGTTTAATTCATAAGGTCTGGTAGGAAGAACGTGAATTTATTAACCAAAACTAGTAAAGGGGAAGCAGCCAGATTTCTACTTAAAGTAGCTGCTTTAATTTTCAGAGGGGAAAGCCTTGATAAGGAAGGCACGCAAGAATCGGGCTGAGTCCTGTGTCCGCATGTCTTGTTCTGGTGGCTCTTCTGGGTCCCAGTCCGTCCGGACCTCTGGCTGACATTATTTTAACAAGAGCTGTCTTGAAGTAATTTCTGGGATTTTGCAGCTGGATTTTCAGATGTGGTTTGTCTCTCTCAAGGTTTTAGCCCCTGCAACTTTTAGGAAGACATATAATTCGATCCTCGCACGCAGAGAAATGGAAGGGAGTATATACAGACAGTAAGAAAAGGGAGGGAGTGTATACAGATGACAAGAAAAGGGAGGGAGTGTGTACAGACGGTGAGAAGAGGGAGGGAGTGTGTACAGATCGTGAGAAAAGGGAGGGGCGTGAAGTCTATTTTTAGGCTGAGGAAAACGGCCTTTGCAGCTGCCTCAAGGTTGTATTTGGAAACCCAAGAGAAAGGGGAAAACATGTTTAAAATGCATTTTGAATTTAAGCTGCCGGCTACAAAACTGAACAATGTCTCCCGCAGAAACGAGAAATCCCTTGGCGTGGCCATTTCTTATTACAGAAGCCACCCTGCCACGCACACAGACGCGCTGGAAGTATCTTTCCTCAGTCACAACCAGACGAAGGTCATTCTTGCCCAGTGGCCTCCCTCTGAGGATTCTGGTTTCTGACATCCGTGTCACAATGGCAATGCCAGTCACCAGTCTCTGACCACTAGACCCACGCCCCCGGGACCTACGCAGACACCCAGGACCAATGCCAGTCACCAGTCTGTGACCCCAGGACCTACCAGACACCTTCCAGGGCAGGCAGGGCAGGCCATTTTCCAAAGCAATTCGAGCTAAGGAGACAGCAGCAGCAACCCTCCCTCCTGGCCCTCAGAGCTGAGGATCAACCCACAGGGGTGCGGTGGAGGCTGAGAGCAGGGGTGCGGAACCCGAGTCAGCAGGGGCAGTGAGGAGGCTGCCGCAGTAGTCAAAGCGACGGGGAGGATGTGGCAAAGCAAACAAGAGGACGCGATGGGGTGAACACTTGGGAGGAAGATCAACGAGTACTGACTAGGACACAGGGGACAAGGAAGAGAAAGAAATCCAGAGGACCCACAGCTTTCTGGGCTGGATGTCTGGGGGACTGTTGTTAGCATGAACAGAAGGAAGGAAGAAAGCTTGCAAGGAAAGATTGACCTGGACCTGTTGCATTGCATGAGCTAGGCAGGAAATCCCTGGGAGGGTGAGGCCAGCATATGGGTGGGAAGTCAGGGAGAAGTACAGATTTGTAAGGCGTGAGAGTAGACGCAGGGTGGCCAGAGAGGGAGGGGCAGCAGGAGAGGGAAAGGGCTGGAGACATGTCATCTGGGCGTGGAGCGGGGGAGAGAGGTGGCAAGGGGAGTGGAGTGGAGGGCCCGGGAGCGTGGACGGTGGAGCAGGACCCGTCAGCTTCAATGAGGGTGAGGCTGGGTGGTGGCACGGGGCCGCCGGCCAGGGAGAGCACGTGGAGGGGGGGGCGCAATACACATCTGTCAGATTCATGAATGAATGAATGGATGGGGCCGAACTGATGAGACGCGTGAGGACTGGAGAAAATCGTTTTTGCTGTTGGGAAGGAGATTCTGGTAGCTCTGAGGAAAACGGCTTGAGCGAAGTGAGTGAGGTGGGGGCAGAGCGAGCAGTGCGTGGTAAAGAAGAGGCGGCAGGGGAAGCCCGGCTTTCATGCTGCTGGAGGGACGAGGAGGACACAGACGGATGACAGACTTGTTTTAGGCCAACAGACACCTGAACATGCTCACAGGCAGGAGAGAAGGAGAAAGGCAGAAAGAACGTCGGAGACACAGAGGCAGAGCAGTGAGCCATCCGGGCAGGAGGGAGCCCCGGGGCCCCGGGGAGGGTGCGGAGAAGGCTCTGGGCATTGAAGGAGATGAAGGGCACGGCTTTGGTTCTTTCAGTGAAGTAGAAAATGGAGGGTCACGGGGAGAGAAGAGAGAGGAGAGACCTGTTTCTCTCCAATATCAACTCTTTAGGCGCAAATCTCCCAGCTCTCTGCTCCCCAAGTTTATGCGTTTGGCCAGAGTGAGAACAAGTTTCAGTTGTCTGACAATCTGACGGAACCTGAAGGGCCTGACTTGCATCCTGGTGAGAGCCAAGGTCAGTTCATTCTGGCCAACACTTGAGCAGCAAGAACAAGGCTATGAGTATTTTTTAGAATAAAACTTGATCAAGGCTTCAAATTTCTCTGCCTGACAACTTCAGCGAGATGGTTTTGGCTTACAAACATTGTTAAGAGTGGATACTATCATTTTATTTTAAGGGAAGTGTTTCTGAACGTGGGGTCCACGGACCACCTGCATCAGAATCACTCTGGACATGTGTTAAAATGCTGATGCACCCTCTGCCTTTTGAGAACCACTTTTTTTTTTTTTTTTTTTTTCAGAGAAGGGGTCTTGAGCTATTGCCCAGGCTGGTCTCAAACTCCTGGCCTCAAGGAATCCTCCCGCCTCTGCCTGTCCGTGCTGGGATTTTAGGCATGAGCTACCATGCCCAGCTGAGAACCATTTTCTTACCAAAAATCATTCTCCATAGTCTCTCCATCCACTAGGATTTCTTTCTTTTTCTTCTTTGTAAAGATAGGTCATACTTGAACACAGGATTTCTTACCTACAAATAACCTACTCAAGCTTAGTAGATTGAGTTATCTGCAAATTGTTTTCCTAAACAGCTGAATAATCAATCTATTGCAGGAGTGGCTTCAGAGGTATTGTTTAAATGATGGTGAAAAACAAATGCAATAACTGTAGTTTTGTCGTAACGAATGCTAATCTCTTCCTCCTCACAAGCCCAACAGATTGAGAGATTTTGACAGCGCCTTCTCCCCTAGACAATAAAACTATGTCCTCCACATGCAGTGACTCACTTGCCCTCCTATTTGCGGCAGCAGGAAACTCTAATCAACTTGGCTCAAGATGAGCAAGTTCTCTAAATAAAGATTTAAAAGGAGGACTACCAGGACACAGCCCTGTTTAGCAAGAATTTTTTTTTTTTTTGAGATGGAGTCCCGCTCTGTCGCCCAGGCTGGAGTGCAGTGGCGCGATCTCGGCTCACTGCAACCTCCACCTCCCAGGTTTGAGAGATTCTCCTGCCTCAGCCTCCTGAGTAGCTGGGATTACAGGTGCACGCCACCATGCCTGGGTAATTTTTGTATTTTTAGTAGAGATGGGGTTTCATCATGTTGGCCAGGCTGGTCTTGAACTCCTGACCTCAAATGATCCACCCGCTTCGACCTCCCAAAGTGCTGGGATTACAGGTGTGAGGCACCGCACCTGGCCGATTTTCAGTCGATGCTGTGAAGCAAAGAGCAGCAGGTGAGGGATGGGGCCTGTCCTGGATCATGCCCCTTTGTTCACAGGCTAGGGATATGGGGAAACAGGCACACTCTTGCACACTGCCAACAGGTCTGTAAATTGGCATAAGCTTTCTGCAAAGAAATTTGGCAGTCTGTATTAATAACATGAAAAATTTTATAACAGCATAAACCAGCAATTCCACTGATAGAAATTTATGTTAAGGAGATGAGCTGAAATAATGTAAACAAAACATTAGACACAAAGATAGTCATCAGGGCTTTATTTAAAATAAGCAATACATTGGAAATATCCTAATTGTCCAACAGTAAGTTAACAATATGAGCTTTCTCTATGATGGCTTATTATTTAGTGTTTAGGCCGGGCGCGGTGGCTCACGCCTGTAATCCCAGCACTTTGGGAGGCTGAGGTGAGTGGATCACCTGAGGTCAAGAGTTTGAGACCAGCCTGGCCAACATGGTGAAACCCAGTCTCCACTAAAAATACAAAAAATTAGCCTGGCATGGTGGCACATGCCTGTAATCCCAGCTACTTGGGAGGCTGAAGCAGGAGAATCACGGAGGTGGAGGTTGCAGTGGGCCGAAATCGTGCCGTTGCACTCCAGCCTGGGCAACAAGAGTGAAACTCCATCTGGAAAAAAAAATGTTTAAAGGCTATGTCCAATGTTCCATAAGGGCAGGGACACACACACACAGTGTCACACACACACACACACACACACACACACAGTGTCACACATACATACTAGCAACACACAGAACGGGCATAAAGTAAGATGTATTAAGGAGAAATTGCGAGCAGGGAGCAGTGGAGTCCACATGACCCCCGAGCTCTCATTGCACAGAGAGGTGGGTATGGTGGACACACAGCAGGATGTGGTACAGGAGAGAGACCTGCTCCTGTTTAACAGAAAATGGGAAGGGTAACAACGCTTCCAGTTGGGGGAGTGGCTTTGTTAGGAAGGAGGCCACCAGAGCTCAGCAGGGGGAGTTTTTATACAGCACCCTAGATTTTACTATGGAGCTGAGCTCTCCCAGTCCCCCTGAGCCAGCTCTTGTAGGACTCCAAAAGGGGGAAGCAAGGAACTGCCATCCAAGACATAAAAGATGTGCGTCTTCTCAGGCTATGTTTACGAAGCTAGTATCTTGAAGAAATGCTCATATCAGGTATGGCTAAAAAGGCAGGATACAAAATTATGTATACTGAATAAGTTAAACTATACATATATATTTTTTAATTTTTAATTTTTTTTTTGAGACGGAGTCTCACTCTGTCACCCAGGCAGGAGTGCAGTGGTGCAATCTCGGCTCACTGCAAGCTCCGCCTCCCGGGTTCACGCCATTCTCCTGCCTCAGCCTCCCGAGTAGCTGGGACTACAGGCGCCCGCCACCACGCCCGGCTAATTTTTTTGTATTTTTAGTAGAGACGGGGGTTCACCCTGTTAGCCAGGATGGTCTCGATCTCCTGACCTCATGATCCGCCCACCTCAGCCTCACAAAGCGCTGGGATTACAGGTGTGAGCCACCACGCCTGGCCTAAACTATATATTTTTTAAAGCATAAAAACATCCTGGAAGGAAGCATTGTCTGGTAGCAAGATTATGGGTTTTGATCTTTCAACTATAAATGTTCCCAAATGCACGTAACCAGTATGTGTGTTTTCTTTGGCATATTTCAATGCAGTTGTACAATTTTGTCCATAAAGATTAAGCACATCTTTTGTTAGATTTATTTTTATGTACTTTTTTTGGTCACCATCATAAACACTATAGTCTTAAAAATATTTTCTCTTTCACTGATATATAGGAATGCAGTTTTATTTTGTTTTTAAATCTCTTTTTGAGACAGAGTCTCCCTCTGTCATGCAGGCTGGAGTACAGTGGGGTGATCATAGCTCACTGCAGCCTCGAACTCTTGGGCTCAAGTGATCCTCCCCCCTCAACTTCTGAGTAGCTGGAACTATATGTGTGTGCTACTATGCCCAGCTAATTTTTTATTTTTTTATTTTTTATTTCTGTAGAGACAGGATCTTGCTATGTTACCCAGGCTGGTCTTGAACTCCTGGCCTCAAGTGTTCCTCCTGCCTCAGCCTCTCAAAGCACTGGGATTCAGGCATGAATCACCACACCCAGCTGGAATGCAATTATTTTTAAAATTTTGATTATGGATATAGAACTTTGCTAATAATGTATATGTTTGGGAAGTTTCTATGTAAACAATTATGTTATCTGCAAATAACCATAGGCTTGTTTCATCCCTTCCATACCCAAAATCACATTTCTGTACTCTCATACTTTTTGTTTAATTTTCTCGTCTTATTTCACCAGCTAAAACCTTCAACCTAATGTTGATTAGAAGCAGTGATTGTTGGCATCTTGTTTTTATTCCTGATTTTACAGAAACGTTTCTATTGTTTTAAGTATAATGTTTACACGGGGTTATAATTGACATTGTTTATCAGGTTAAAAGAGTTAACGTCTCTTTTTAGTTTGCTAGGAGTTTTAACAGGAGTAAGTGTTGACTTTTATCAAATAACTTTCCTGTATCTGCTGTGGTGATTGTGTCTCCCCTCCATTCTGTTTATATGGTGATTTACATTAAGAAAGCATTGTCTTTATCTTGCATTTCTGATTTAAACTCAGCTTGATCATGATGTACTTTTAAAATATTTATTTATTTATTTATTTATTTATTTATTTAAGATAGAGTCCTGCTCTGTCACCAGGCTGGAGTGCAGTGGCACAATCTCGGCTCACTGCAATCTCTGCCTCCTGGGTTCAAGCAATTCTCGTGCCTCAGCCTCCTGAGTAGCTGGGATTACAGGTGTGTGCCACCAAGCCCAGCACACACCTGTAATCCAAAAAAATACAAATTTTTTGTATTTTTACCAGAGACGGGGTTTCTCTAGGTTGGCCAGGCTGGTCTGGAACTCCCGGCCTCAAGTGATCCGCCTGCCTCGGCCTGCCAAAGTGTTGGGGTTACAGGCGTGAGCCGCCGCGCCCGGCCATGATGCACTTTGGCTTGCTAATATTTTATTTACGATGCTTCCATGTATTATTACTGGGACTTATTAATCTATAGTTTGTCTTTCTTATCCTATCTTTGGTTTCCAACCTTATAAAATTATTAGTAGATCATTTCCTCCTGTTCCAAACTCTGAATATGTTTGTATAGAATTGAAATTACCTGTTCCTTGAATGTCTGATTTGCCTGTAAACTCATCTTAGCCTGCATTTTTTTGTGGGGTGGATAGATTATATATACATATTTTTTTTTGAGACGGAGTCTCACCTTGTCACCCAGGCTGGAGTGCAATGGCATGATCTCCGCTCACTGCAACCTCTGCCTCCCAGGTTCACGCCGTTCTCCTGCCTCAGCCTCCAGAGTAGCTGGGACTACAGGCGCCTGCCACCATGCCCAGCTAATTTTTTTTTCACCGTGTTAGCCAGGATGGTCTCAATCTCCTGACCTCATGATCCGCCTGCCTCACCCTCCCAACGTGTTAGGATTACAGGCGTGAGCCACCGCACCCGGCCTAGATTATATTTTTTAAACTGCTGATTCAATTTAAAATAGTTTATAGTGGCAGGGCGAGGTGGCTCATGCCTGTAATCCCAGCACTTTGGGATGCCGAGGTGGGTAGATCACCTGAGGTCAGGAGTTTGAGACCAGCCAGGACGACATGGTGAAACCCAGTCTCTACTAAAAATACAAAAATTAGCCGGGCGTGGTGGCATGCGCCTGTAATCCCAGCTACTTGGGAGGCTGAAGCAGGAGAATCTTGAACCTGGGAGGCAGAGGTTGCAGTGAGCTGAGATCATGCCATTGCACTCCAGCCTGGGCAACAAAGCAAGACTCTGTTTCAAAAAAATAAATAAATAAAATTAAATAAATAAAATAAAATAGTTTTTAGCCAGGTTTTTTTCTTAATTCATTTTTGATAAATTATATTTTTAAGGACAGTATATCCAATTTATCTAAGTTTTCATACTTTTTGGTATAAATTCATCAGAGCACTGTCTCTTAAATTTTTTTTCTGAAGTTATGTACCCTTTTTTGTTTCTAATAATCTTGATATCTGTGTCTTTTCTGTCTCTCTCTCTCCCTCCTCCCACCCCCCCCCCACTTTCTTTCTCTTGCCAGGTGTTTGTTTTATTTTCAAAGAACTAATCTTTGGCTTCATTTATTCCATTTTTAATTGTTTCTATAGTGAGTTCTGGTCTGTTACTATATCCTTCATTCTGCTTCCTTTTTCTTTTTTCTTCCTGGTCTTTCTAGTCCACCTTTTTTGCTGGCGGTTCCAGCTTTTTGCAGGGAAACTCAGTTCAGTGTCGTGACCGAGGGTCTTGCTTCCTTTCCTTTTTCAGCCTTTCAGTCAGCACATTTCCAAGGGCATTGACTCACCATCTTAGTTGTTAACTTCTTCACTCCTGAGTGTTTCCCTTTCTTTCTTCTCATCTCACCTCTGCATTAGAAAACATTTATTACATTTATAACCTGTATTTATCTGGCATCGGCTGGTTTTGCTATTAGAGGCTTATCTCTTCTTCCATATTGCTGAAATGGAGCTGTGCCACTTTTATAAAGAACTACAAAAATCTTTACTTTAAAAAAAAGGACGGTGCTGTCATGAAACTTCTGCTGCTGACACTGATTTTAGCAGAGGTGATGCAGGCTCTGAAAAGATGTTAATTGCCAAGAATTTACACATTCAGAAAGTTTGGCCCCTAGATAGCTCCTGTCTACTCAAAGCCTGATGATAGACAAATGCTCTTAATTATGTTATCAGGGAAATGAAATAAGGTTAAAAATAACTGCATAGAGAATGTTTTTAAATTTAAACCTTATTTGGAGAAACCAAGTTTTGCAAATTTTCTCTAGGAGAAAGCAGGCATCGAGTTTAGAGTCCTATCAACAAATCTCAACCTAATTCCAACTAAAGGAAGTTTCCGTTTAAAGTTGAAGTGGAGTCATTTTGGATTAAGCCAGGGGCCCAGGGACCTCCCAGAGGGCTCTGCGGTTCAGCCCGTGCCTTTGTCCACGTCGGTTTACAAGTGTGTCACCAGTAAGCAGTTACTATTAATGAAGTGCAGAAGCTTGCACGTGAGTCACTTTTTTAACAATTAGAGCTGGTCCATAACCATTATCACTCACTTGAGAGTCTAAGTTACTGTCTGAAGAAGAGAAGGTGGCGAATTACAGTCAATTCCAGAAAGTGGACTTGAAGCTGAATTCTTCCCTGAGACTTTGTCTCTCTGAGTATCATCTTGCCAACTATCTAGGAGCACTGAGGTTGAAAAAAAGGGTGGGAGCGGTGGCTCACACCTTTAATCCCAGTACTTTGAGAGTCTGAAGCAGGAGGATCGCTTGAGGCCGGGAGTTCGACAGCAGCCTAGGCAACATAGCAAGATTCCACCTCTACAGAAATAAAAAAATTACCCAGGCATGGTTGTGTGTGCCTGTAGTCCCAGCTACTCAGAAGGCCAATTACACCGCTGAACTTCAGCCTGGGTGACAGAAGACCCTGTCTCTCTTTCTCTCTCTCTCTTTCTTTCTCTCTCTCTCTCTTTCTTCTCTCTCTCTCTCTATATATATATATGTTTAAAAAGAAAAAAGAAAGAAGTTTGAGAACAGCTAGGGAACTAATGAAAACCCAAAAGAGTCAGTTTCTAAGAGAAAAAAAAAGGCAAGTTTTCTTGGTTTCTTCTTGGTTCAGAGACTCAGAGGCTAAGGTAATATTCACGAAGATGGTATGTGGCTAGTGCAGGTGCTGTGAAATATTTTAAACAAAAAAAGCCAATATTTAAACATTCTGCCTGGGAAATATTTTTCTTTATTTATTTAATATCTATTATTATTATTATTATTATTATTATTATTATTTTTATTTTTTAAGACACAGGGTCTCGCTATCTTGCCCAGGCTGGTCTCAAACTCCTGGCCTCGAGTGATCCTCCCACCTTGGCCTCCCAAAATGCTGGGATTACAGACATGAGCCACCATGCCTGGCCTCTGCCTGGGAAATAATTTTTTTTTAAAAAGTGGTTATGGTCAATAATATTAGCTTCTTGGTAGTCTGTGACCAGGGCAAGAGTATATGCATTTACCCCTTGGGTTTTTTACTAGATTGGCACAGATGTTAACAACGAAAAAGAAAAGTAGAAATTTAATTTATTTTTAAGAAAGATAATGCTATAATTCAAGTTGAGAGAGTTAACCCGGCTTATAGCAGGGGTACTGTTTGCCTCTTCCCATGGAGTTTAACACAGTTAATTCACCATTCTAGTCTAACCTCACCTTCCTCCTCACAAGGAAGACAGGCGGGAGCTGGAGAAGACCATTGGCTATATTCCTGCAACTGTGCTTTTTCTAGGCGATTTGAAGCAGTGCTTATCAGGGGCCTTCCTCTGTGGGAATCCTGCACCCCCATCTCTCTCTCCTTTTTTATTTTATTTATTTTTTTTTTTTGAGACAGAATCTTGCTCTGTCGCCCAGGCTGCAGTGAAGTGGCATGATGTCTGCTCACTGCAACCTCCACCTCCTGGGTTCAAGCAATTCTCCTGCCTCAGCCTTTTGAGTAACTGGGATTACAGGCACCCACCACCACGCCCAGCTATTTCTGTATTTTTTTTTCTAGTAGAGACGGGGTTTTGCCATATTGCCCAGGCTGGTCTCGCACTCCTGACCTCAAGTGATCCACCCATCTCAGCCTCCCAAAGTGCTGGGATTGCAGGTGGGGCTACCATGCCCGGCCCCATCTCTTATTATTTTTTTATCCCCCAAATATGTACAGTTGTGATATATTAATTTTTCATTTTTTCTTTTTATTTCTTTTCATTTTTTACTTTAAGTTTCAGGATACATGTGCAGAACGTGCAGGTTTGTTACACAGGTATATATGTGCCATGGTGGTTTACTGCACCTATCAACCCATCACCTGCATGTATTAGCTATTTATCCTGACGCTCTTCCTCCCCTTGTCCCGTCCCTGACAGGCGCCAGTGTGTGTTGTTCCCCTCTCTGTGTCCATGTGTTCTCATTGTTCAACTCCAACTTATGAGTGAAAACATGCAGTGTTTGGTTTTCTGTTCCCCTGTTAGTTTGTTGAGGATGATGGCTTTCAGCTTCATCCATGTACCTGCAAAGGACATGATCCCATTCCTTTTTCATGGCTGCATAGTATTCCGTGCTGCATATGTACCACATTTTCTTTATCCAGTCTATCACTGATGGACATTTGGGTTGGTTTCATGTCTTTACTATTGTAAATAGTGCTGCAGTAAACATACGTGTGCATGTATCTTTATAACAGAATGATTTATATTCCTTTGGGCATATACCCAGTAATGGGATTGCTGGGTCAAATGGTATTTCTGGTTCTAGATCCTTGAGGAATCGCCACACTGTCTTCCACAATGGTTGAACTGATTTACACTCCCACCAACAGTGTAAAAGCGTTCCTATTTCACCACAGCCTTGCCAGCATCTGCTGTTTCTTGACTTTTTAATAATTGCCATTCTGACTGGTGTGAGATGATATCCCTTTGTAGTTTTGATTTGCATTTCTCTAATGATCCATGATGATGAGCCTTTTTTCATATGTTTGTTGGTGGCATAAATGTCTTCTTTTGATAAGTGTCTGTTCATATCCTTTGCCTGCTTTTTGATGGGGTTGTTTATTTTTTTCTTGTAAATTTAAGTTCCTTGTAAATTCTGGATATTAGACCTCTGTCAGATGGTTAGATTGCAAAAATTTTCTCATTTTGTAGGTTGCCTGTTTGCTCTGATGATAGTTTCTTTTGCTGTGCAGAGCTCTTTAGTTTAATTAGATCCCATTTGTCAATTTTAGCTTTTGTTGCAAGTGCTTTTGGAGATTTCATCATAAAATCTTTGCCTATGTCTATGTCCTGAATGGTATTGCCTAGGTTTTCTTCTAGGGTTTTCATGGTTTGGGGTTTTACATGTAAGTCTTTAACCTGCCTTGAGTTAATTTTTGTATAAGGTGTAAGGAAGGGGTCCAGTTTCAGTTTTCTGCATATGGCTAACCAGTTTTCCCAGCACCATTTATTGAATAGAGAATCCTTTCCCCATTGCCTGCTTTTGTCAGGTTTGTCAAAGATCAGATGGTTGTAGATGTGTGGTCTTATTTCCAAGGTATCTATTCTGTTCCATTGGTTTATACGTCAGTTTTGGTACCAGTACCATGCTGTTTTGGTTACTGTAGCCTTGTAGTATAGTTTGAAGTCAGGTAGCCTCCCACTTTGTTCTTTTTGCTTAGGATTGTCTTGGCTATTTGGGTTCTTTTTTGATTCCATATGAATTTTAAAGTAGTTTGTTCTCATTCTGTGAAGAATGGTAGTTTTCACATCCTTTGTTAGCTGTATTCCTAGGTATTTTATTCTATTTGTAGCAATTGTGAATAGGAGTTCATTCATGATTTAGCTCTCTGCTTGCCTATTTTGGTTCACTCCAGGAACCACAGAGGACACATTAATAACTGGAAGTAAAACTGCTGCCCCAGTCACCTCAACAGGCTCAACAACAGCGACACTAGAGGGACAATCAACTGCAGCTTCTTCAAGGACCTCTAATCAGGACATATCAGCTTCATCTCAGAACCACCAGACTAAGAGCACGGAGACCACCAGCAAAGCTCAAACCGACACCCTCACGCAGATGATGACATCAACTCTTTTTTCTTCCCCAAGTGTACACAATGTGATGGAGACTGTTACGCAGGAGACAGCTCCTCCAGATGAAATGACCACATCATTTCCCTCCAGTGTCACCAACACACTCATGATGACATCAAAGACTATAACAATGACAACCTCCACAGACTCCACTCTTGGAAACACAGAAGAGACATCAACAGCAGGAACTGAAAGTTCTACCCCAGTGACCTCAGCAGTCTCAATAACAGCTGGACAGGAAGGACAATCACGAACAACTTCCTGGAGGACCTCTATCCAAGACACATCAGCTTCTTCTCAGAACCACTGGACTCGGAGCACGCAGACCACCAGGGAATCTCAAACCAGCACCCTAACACACAGAACCACTTCAACTCCTTCTTTCTCTCCAAGTGTACACAATGTGACAGGGACTGTTTCTCAGAAGACATCTCCTTCAGGTGAAACAGCTACCTCATCCCTCTGTAGTGTCACAAACACATCCATGATGACATCAGAGAAGATAACAGTGACAACCTCCACAGGCTCCACTCTTGGAAACCCAGGGGAGACATCATCAGTACCTGTTACTGGAAGTCTTATGCCAGTCACCTCAGCAGCCTTAGTAACAGTTGATCCAGAAGGACAATCACCAGCAACTTTCTCAAGGACTTCTACTCAGGACACAACAGCTTTTTCTAAGAACCACCAGACTCAGAGCGTGGAGACCACCAGAGTATCTCAAATCAACACCCTCAACACCCTCACACCGGTTACAACATCAACTGTTTTATCCTCACCAAGTGGATTCAACCCAAGTGGAACAGTTTCTCAGGAGACATTCCCTTCTGGTGAAACAACCATCTCATCCCCTTCCAGTGTCAGCAATACATTCCTGGTAACATCAAAGGTGTTCAGAATGCCAATCTCCAGAGACTCTACTCTTGGAAACACAGAGGAGACATCACTATCTGTAAGTGGAACCATTTCTGCAATCACTTCCAAAGTTTCAACCATATGGTGGTCAGACACTCTGTCAACAGCACTCTCCCCCAGTTCTCTACCTCCAAAAATATCCACAGCTTTCCACACCCAGCAGAGTGAAGGTGCAGAGACCACAGGACGGCCTCATGAGAGGAGCTCATTCTCTCCAGGTGTGTCTCAAGAAATATTTACTCTACATGAAACAACAACATGGCCTTCCTCATTCTCCAGCAAAGGCCACACAACTTGGTCACAAACAGAACTGCCCTCAACATCAACAGGTGCTGCCACTAGGCTTGTCACAGGAAATCCATCTACAGGGGCAGCTGGCACTATTCCAAGGGTCCCCTCTAAGGTCTCAGCAATAGGGGAACCAGGAGAGCCCACCACATACTCCTCCCACAGCACAACTCTCCCAAAAACAACAGGGGCAGGCGCCCAGACACAATGGACACAAGAAACGGGGACCACTGGAGAGGCTCTTCTCAGCAGCCCAAGCTACAGTGTGACTCAGATGATAAAAACGGCCACATCCCCATCTTCTTCACCTATGCTGGATAGACACACATCACAACAAATTACAACGGCACCATCAACAAATCATTCAACAATACATTCCACAAGCACCTCTCCTCAGGAATCACCAGCTGTTTCCCAAAGGGGTCACACTCAAGCCCCGCAGACCACACAAGAATCACAAACCACGAGGTCCGTCTCCCCCATGACTGACACCAAGACAGTCACCACCCCAGGTTCTTCCTTCACAGCCAGTGGGCACTCGCCCTCAGAAATTGTTCCTCAGGACGCACCCACCATAAGTGCAGCAACAACCTTTGCCCCAGCTCCCACCGGGGATGGTCACACAACCCAGGCCCCGACCACAGCACTGCAGGCAGCACCCAGCAGCCATGATGCCACCCTGGGGCCCTCAGGAGGCACGTCACTTTCCAAAACAGGTGCCCTTACTCTGGCCAACTCTGTAGTGTCAACACCAGGGGGCCCAGAAGGACAATGGACATCAGCCTCTGCCAGCACCTCACCTGACACAGCAGCAGCCATGACCCATACCCACCAGGCTGAGAGCACAGAGGCCTCTGGACAAACACAGACCAGCGAACCGGCCTCCTCAGGGTCACGAACCACCTCAGCGGGCACAGCTACCCCTTCCTCATCCGGGGCGAGTGGCACAACACCTTCAGGAAGCGAAGGAATATCCACCTCAGGAGAGACGACAAGGTTTTCATCAAACCCCTCCAGGGACAGTCACACAACCCAGTCAACAACCGAATTGCTGTCCGCCTCAGCCAGTCATGGTGCCATCCCAGTAAGCACAGGAATGGCGTCTTCGATCGTCCCCGGCACCTTTCATCCCACCCTCTCTGAGGCCTCCACTGCAGGGAGACCGACAGGACAGTCAAGCCCAACTTCTCCCAGTGCCTCTCCTCAGGAGACAGCCGCCATTTCCCGGATGGCCCAGACTCAGAGGACAAGAACCAGCAGAGGGTCTGACACTATCAGCCTGGCGTCCCAGGCAACCGACACCTTCTCAACAGTCCCACCCACACCTCCATCGATCACATCCAGTGGGCTTACATCTCCACAAACCGAGACCCACACTCTGTCACCTTCAGGGTCTGGTAAAACCTTCACGACGGCCCTCATCAGCAACGCCACCCCTCTTCCTGTCACCTACGCTTCCTCGGCATCCACAGGTCACACCACCCCTCTTCATGTCACCGATGCTTCCTCAGTATCCACAGGTCACGCCACCCCTCTTCCTGTCACCAGCCCTTCCTCAGTATCCACAGGTCACACCACCCCTCTTCCTGTCACCGACACTTCCTCAGAATCCACAGGTCACGTCACCCCTCTTCCTGTCACCAGCCTTTCCTCAGCATCCACAGGGGACAGCACCCCTCTTCCTGTCACTGACACTTCCTCAGCATCCACAGGTCACGCCACCCCTCTTCCTGTCACCTACGCTTCCTCGGCATCCACAGGTCACACCACCCCTCTTCATGTCACCGATGCTTCCTCAGTATCCACAGGTCACGCCACCCCTCTTCCTGTCACCAGCCCTTCCTCAGTATCCACAGGTCACACCACCCCTCTTCCTGTCACCGACACTTCCTCAGAATCCACAGGTCACGTCACCCCTCTTCCTGTCACCAGCCTTTCCTCAGCATCCACAGGGGGACAGCACCCCTCTTCCTGTCACTGACACTTCCTCAGCATCCACAGGTCACGCCACCCCTCTTCCTGTCACCTACGCTTCCTCGGCATCCACAGGTCACACCACCCCTCTTCATGTCACCGATGCTTCCTCAGTATCCACAGGTCACGCCACCCCTCTTCCTGTCACCAGCCCTTCCTCAGTATCCACAGGTCACACCACCCCTCTTCCTGTCACCGACACTTCCTCAGAATCCACAGGTCACGTCACCCCTCTTCCTGTCACCAGCCTTTCCTCAGCATCCACAGGTCACACCACCCCTCTTCCTGTCACCGACACTTCCTCAGCATCCACAGGTCACGCCACCTCTCTTCCTGTCACCGACAGTTCCTCAGTATCCACAGGTCACACCACCCCTCTTCCTGTCACCGACACTTCCTCAGCATCCACAGGTCACGCCACCTCTCTTCCTGTCACCGACACCTCCTCAGCATCCACAGGTCACACCACCCCTCTTCATGTCACTGATGCTTCCTCAGTATCCACAGGTCACGCCACCCCTCTTCCTGTCACCAGCCTTTCCTCAGTATCCACAGGTGACACCACGCCTCTTCCTGTCACCAGCCTTTCCTCAGTATCCACAGGTGACACCACCCCTCTTCTTGTCACCGATGCTTCCTCAGCATCCACAGGTCAGGCCACCCCTCTGCCTGTCACTAGCCCTTCCTCAGCATCCACAGGTGACACCACGCCTCTTCCTGTCACTAGCCCTTCCTCATTATCCACAGGTGACGCCACCCCTCTTCCTGTCACCAGCCCTTCCTCAGCATCCACAGGTGACACCACCTCTCTTCTTGTCACCGACGCTTCCTCAGTGTCCACAGATGACACCACCCCTCTTCCTGTCACTAGCCCTTCCTCAGCATCCACAGGTCACGCCACCCTTCTTCATGTCACCGATGCTTCCTCATTATCCACAGGTGACACCACCCCTCTTCCTGTCACCGACACTTCCTCAGCATCCACAGGTGACACCACCCCTCTTCCTGTCACCGACGCTTCCTCAGCATCTACAGGTGACACCACCCCTCTTCCTGTCACCGACACTTCCTCAGCATCCACAGGTCAGGCCACCCCTCTTCCTCTCACCAGCACTTCCTCAGCATCCACAGGTGACACCACCCCTCTTCCTGTCACCGACACTTCCTCAGCATCCACAGGTCAGGCCACCCCTCTTCCTGTCACCAGCCTTTCCTCAGTATCCACAGGTGACACCACGCCTCTTCCTGTCACTAGCCCTTCCTCAGCATCCACAGGTCACGCCACCCCTCTTCTTGTCACCGACACTTCCTCAGCATCCACAGGACACGCCACCCCTCTTCCTGTCACCGACGCTTCCTCAGTGTCCACAGGTCACGCCACCTCTCTTCCTGTAACCGTCCCTTCCTCAGCATCCACAGGTCACACCACCCCTCTTCCTGTCACCGACACTTCCTCAGCATCCACAGGTCAGGCCACCCCTCTTCATGTCACCAGCCCTTCCTCAGCATCCACAGGTCATGCCACCTCTCTTCTTGTCACCGACACTTCCTCAGTATCCACAGGTGACACCATGCCTCTTCCTGTCACTAGCACTTCCTCAGCATCCACAGGTCACGTCACTCCTCTTCATGTCACCAGCCCTTCCTCAGCATCCACAGGTCACGCCACCCCTCTTCCTGTCACCAGCCTTTCCTCAGCATCCACAGGTGACACCATGCCTCTTCCTGTCACTAGCCCTTCCTCAGCATCCACAGGTGACACCACCCCTCTTCCTGTCACCGACGCTTCCTCAGTATCCACAGGTCACACCACCCCTCTTACTGTCACCAGCCCTTCCTCAGCATCTACAGGTCACACCACCCCTCTTCCTGTCACCGACACTTCCTCAGCATCCAAAGGTGACACCACCCCTCTTCCTGTCACCAGCCCTTCCTCAGCATCTACAGGTCACACCACCCCTCTTCTTGTCACCGACACTTCCTCAGCATCCACAGGTGACACCACCCCTCTTCCTGTCACCAATGCTTCCTCATTATCCACAGGTCACGCCACCCCTCTTCATGTCACCAGCCCTTCCTCAGCATCCACAGGTCACGCCACCCCTCTTCCTGTCACCAGCACTTTCTCAGCATCCACCGGTCATGCCACCCCTCTTCCTGTCACCGACAATTCCTCAGTATCCACACGTCACGCCACCCCTCTTCCTGTCACCGGCCTTTCCTCAGCTTCCACAGATGACACCACCCATCTTCCTGTCACCGACGTTTCCTCGGCATCCACAGGTCAGGCCACCCCTCTTCCTGTCACCAGCCTTTCCTCAGTATCCACAGGTGACACCACGCCTCTTCCTGTCACTAGCCCTTCCTCAGCATCCACAGGTCACGCCAGCCCTCTTCTTGTCACCGACGCTTCCTCAGCATCCACAGGTCAGGCCACCCCTCTTCCTGTCACCGACACTTCCTCAGTATCCACAGCTCACGCCACCCCACTTCCTGTCACCGGCCTTTCCTCAGCTTCCACAGATGACACCACCCGTCTTCCTGTCACCGACGTTTCCTCGGCATCCACAGGTCAGGCCATCCCTCTTCCTGTCACCAGCCCTTCCTCAGCATCCACAGGTGACACCACCCCTCTTCCTGTCACCGACGCTTCCTCAGCATCCACAGGTGACACCACCTCTCTTCCTGTCACCATCCCTTCCTCAGCATCTTCAGGTCACACCACCTCTCTTCCTGTCACCGACGCTTCCTCAGTGTCCACAGGTCACGCCACCTCTCTTCTTGTCACCGACGCTTCCTCAGTATCCACAGGTGACACCACCCCTCTTCCTGTCACCGACACTTCCTCAGCATCCACAGGTGACACCACCCCTCTTCATGTCACCGACGCTTCCTCAGTATCCACAGGTCACGCCACCCCTCTTCATGTCACCAGCCTTTCCTCAGCATCCACAGGTGACACCACGCCTCTTCCTGTCACTAGCCCTTCCTCAGCATCCTCAGGTCACGCCACCTCTCTTCCTGTCACCGACGCTTCCTCAGTGTCCACAGGTCACGCCACCTCTCTTCCTGTCACCATCCCTTCCTCAGCATCCTCAGGTCACACCACCCCTCTTCCTGTCACCGACGCTTCCTCAGTACCCACAGGTCACGCCACCTCTCTTCCTGTCACCGACGCTTCCTCAGTGTCCACAGGTCACGCCACCCCTCTTCCTGTCACCGACGCTTCCTCAGTGTCCACAGGTCATGCCACCCCTCTTCCTGTCACCAGCCCTTCCTCAGCATCCACAGGTCACGCCACCCCTCTTCCTGTCACCGACACTTCCTCAGTATCTACAGGTCACGCCACCTCTCTTCTTGTCACCGACGCTTCCTCAGTATCCACAGGTCACGCCACCCCTCTTCATGTCACCGATGCTTCCTCATTATCCACAGGTGACACCACCCCTCTTCCTGTCACCAGCCCTTCCTCAGCATCCACAGGTGACACCACCCCTCTTCCTGTCACCGACACTTCCTCAGTATCCACAGGCCACGCCACCTCTCTTCCTGTCACCGACACTTCCTCAGCATCCACAAGTCACGCCACCTCTCTTCCTGTCACCGACACTTCCTCAGCATCCACAGGTCACGCCACCCCTCTTCATGTCACCAGCCCTTCCTCAGCATCCACAGGTCAGGCCACCCCTCTTCCTGTCACCAGCCCTTCCTCAGCATCCACAGGTCACGCCACCCCTCTTCTTGTCACCGACACTTCCTCAGCATCCACAGGACACGCCACCCCTCTTCCTGTCACCAGCCTTTCCTCAGCATCCACAGGTGACAGCACCCCTCTTCCTGTCACCGACGCTTCCTCAGTGTCCACAGGTCACGCCACCTCTCTTCCTGTCACCAGCCTTTCCTCAGTATCCACAGGTGACACCACCCCTCTTCCTGTCACCGACACTTCCTCAGCATCCACAGGTCACACCACCCCTCTTCCTGTCACCGACGCTTCCTCAGTATCCACAGGTCACGCCACCTCTCTTCTTGTCACCGACGCTTCCTCAGTATCCACAGGTCACGCCACCCCTCTTCATGTCACCGACGCTTCCTCATTATCCACAGGTCACGCCACCCCTCTTCCTGTCACCAGCCCTTCCTCAGTGTCCACAGGTGACACCACCCCTCTTCCTGTCACCGACGCTTCCTCAGTGTCCACAGGTCACGCTACCCCTCTTCCTGTCACCGACACTTCCTCAGCATCCACAGGTGACACCACGCCTCTTCCTGTCACCAGCCTTTCCTCAGTATCCACAGGTGACACCACCCCTCTTCTTGTCACCGATGCTTCCTCAGCATCCACAGGTCAGGCCACCCCTCTGCCTGTCACCAGCCCTTCCTCAGCATCCACAGGTGACACCACGCCTCTTCCTGACACTAGCCCTTCCTCATTATCCACAGGTGACGCCACCCCTCTTCCTGTCACCAGCCCTTCCTCAGCATCCACAGGTGACACCACCTCTCTTCTTGTCACCGACGCTTCCTCAGTGTCCACAGATGACACCACCCCTCTTCCTGTCACTAGCCCTTCCTCAGCATCCACAGGTCACGCCACCCTTCTTCATGTCACCGATGCTTCCTCATTATCCACAGGTGACACCACCCCTCTTCCTGTCACCGACACTTCCTCAGCATCTACAGGTGACACCACCCCTCTTCCTGTCACCGACACTTCCTCAGTATCCACAGGTGACACCACCCCTCTTCCTGTCACCGACACTTCCTCAGCATCCACAGGTCAGGCCACCCCTCTTCCTGTCACCAGCACTTCCTCAGCATCCACAGGTCACGCCACCTCTCTTCCTGTCACCGACACTTCCTCAGTATCCACAGGTCACGCCACCCCTCTTCCTGTCACCGACACTTCCTCAGCATCCACAGGTCATGCCACCCCTCTTCCTGTCACCGACACTTCCTCAGTATCCACAGGTCACGCCACCCCTCTTCCTGTCACCGACACTTCCTCAGCATCCACAGGTCACGCCACCCCTCTTCCTGTCACCAGCACTTCCTCAGCATCCACAGGTCACGCCACCTCTCTTCCTCTCACCAGCACTTCCTCAGCATCCACAGGTGACACCACCCCTCTTCCTGTCACCGACACTTCCTCAGCATCCACAGGTCAGGCCACCCCTCTTCCTGTCACCAGCGCTTCCTCAGCATCCACAGGTCACGCCACCCCTCTTACTGTCACCAGCCCTTCCTCAGCATCCACAGGTCACGCCACTCCTCTTCTTGTCACCGACGCTTCCTCAGCATCCACAGGTCAGGCCACCCCTCTTCCTGTCACCAATGCTTCCTCAGTATCCACAGGTCACGCCACCCCTCTTACTGTCACCAGCCCTTCCTCAGCATCCACAGGTCACGCCACCCCTCTTCCTGTCACCAGCCTTTCCTCAGCATCATCCACTGGTGACACCACACCGCTTCCTGTCACCGATACTTCCTCAGCATCCACAGGTCAGGACACCCCTCTTCCTGTCACCAGCCTTTCCTCAGTATCCACAGGTGACACCACGCCTCTTCCTGTCACTAGCCCTTCCTCAGCATCCACAGGTCACACCACCCCTCTTCTTGTCACCGACGCTTCCTCAGTATCCACAGGTCACGCCACCTCTCTTCTTGTCACCGACGCTTCCTCAGTATCCACAGGTCACGCCACCGCTCTTCATGTCACCGATGCTTCCTCATTATCCACAGGTGACACCACCCCTCTTCCTGTCACCAGCCCTTCCTCAGCATCCACAGGTGACACCACCCCTCTTCCTGTCACCGACACTTCCTCAGCATCCACAGGTCACGCCACCTCTCTTCCTGTCACTGACACTTCCTCAGCATCCACAGGTCACGCCACCCCTCTTCCTGTCACCGACACTTCCTCAGCATCCACAGGTCACGCCACCTCTCTTCCTGTCACTGACACTTCCTCAGCATCCACAGGTCACGCCACCCCTCTTCCTGTCACCGACACTTCCTCAGCATCCACAGGGTCATGCCACCCCTCTTCATGTCACCAGCCCTTCCTCAGCATCCACAGGTCACGCCACCCCTGTTCCTGTCACCGACGCTTCCTCAGTATCCACAGGTCATGCCACCCCTCTTCCTGTCACCAGCACTTCCTCAGCATCCACAGGTGACACCACCCCTCTTCCTGTCACCGACACTTCCTCAGCATCCACAGGTCACGCCACCCCTCTTCCTGTCACCAACACTTCCTCAGTATCCACAGGTCACGCCACCCCTCTTCATGTCACCAGCCCTTCCTCAGCATCCACAGGTCACACCACCCCTCTTCCTGTCACCGACGCTTCCTCAGTGTCCACAGGTCACGCCACCTCTCTTCCTGTCACCGACGCTTCCTCAGTGTCCACAGGTCACGCCACCCCTCTTCCTGTCACCGACGCTTCCTCAGTGTCCACAGGTCACGCTACCCCTCTTCCTCTCACCAGCCTTTCCTCAGTATCCACAGGTGACACCACGCCTCTTCCTGTCACCGACACTTCCTCAGCATCCACAGGTCAGGCCACCCCTCTTCCTGTCACCAGCCTTTCCTCAGTATCCACAGGTGACACCACCCCTCTTCCTGTCACCGACACTTCCTCAGCATCCACAGGTCACGCCACCTCTCTTCCTGTCACCGACACTTCCTCAGCATCCACAGGTCACGCCACCCCTCTTCCTGACACCGACACTTCCTCAGCATCCACAGGTCACGCCACCCCTCTTCCTGTCACCGACACTTCCTCAGCATCCACAGGTCACGCCACCCTTCTTCCTGTCACCGACACTTCCTCAGCATCCATAGGTCACGCCACCCCTCTTCCTGTCACCGACACTTCCTCAATATCCACAGGTCACGCCACCCCTCTTCATGTCACCAGCCCTTCCTCAGCATCCACCAGTCACGCCACCCCGCTTCCTGTCACCGACACTTCCTCAGCATCCACAGGTCACGCCAACCCTCTTCATGTCACCAGCCCTTCCTCAGCATCCACCGGTCACGCCACCCCGCTTCCTGTCACCGACACTTCCTCAGCATCCACAGGTCACGCCACCCCTCTTCCTGTCACCAGCCTTTCCTCAGTATCCACAGGTGACACCACGCCTCTTCCTGTCACTAGCCCTTCCTCAGCATCCACAGGTCACACCACCCCTCTTCCTGTCACCGACACTTCCTCAGCATCCACAGGTCACGCCACCGCTCTTCCTGTCACCAGCACTTCCTCAGCATCCACAGGGTGACAACCACCCCTCTTCCTGTCACCGACACTTCCTCAGCATCCACAGGTCACGCCACCCCTCTTCCTGTCACTGACACTTCCTCAGCATCCACAGGTGACACCACGCCCTCTTCCTGTCACCGACACTTCCTCAGCATCCACAGGTCATGCCACCCCTCTTCATGTCACCAGCCCTTCCTCAGCATCCACAGGTCACGCCACCCCTGTTCCTGTCACCGACGCTTCCTCAGTATCCACAGGTCATGCCACCCCTCTTCCTGTCACCAGCACTTCCTCAGCATCCACAGGTGACACCACCCCTCTTCCTGTCACCGACACTTCCTCAGCATCCACAGGTCACGCCACCCCTCTTCCTGTCACCAACACTTCCTCAGCATCCACAGGTCACGCCACCCCTCTTCCTGTCACCAACCCTTCCTCAGCATCCACCAGTCACGCCACCCCGCTTCCTGTCACCGACACTTCCTCAGCATCCACAGGTCACGCCAACCCTCTTCATGTCACCAGCCCTTCCTCAGCATCCACCGGTCACGCCACCCCGCTTCCTGTCACCGACACTTCCTCAGCATCCACAGGTCACGCCACCCCTCTTCCTGTCACCAGCCTTTCCTCAGTATCCACAGGTGACACCACGCCTCTTCCTGTCACTAGCCCTTCCTCAGCATCCACAGGTCACACCACCCCTCTTCCTGTCACCGACACTTCCTCAGCATCCACAGGTCAGGCCACCGCTCTTCCTGTCACCAGCACTTCCTCAGCATCCACAGGTGACACCACCCCTCTTCCTGTCACCGACACTTCCTCAGCATCCACAGGTCAGGCCACCCCTCTTCCTGTCACCAGCCTTTCCTCAGTATCCACAGGTGACACCACGCCTCTTCCTGTCACTAGCCCTTCCTCAGCATCCACAGGTCACGCCACTCCTCTTCTTGTCACCGACGCTTCCTCAGCATCCACAGGTCAGGCCACCCCTCTTCCTGTCACCAGCCTTTCCTCAGTATCCACAGGTGACACCACGCCTCTTCCTGTCACTAGCCCTTCCTCAGCATCCACCGGTCATGCCACCTCTCTTCCTGTCACCGAGACTTCCTCAGCATCCACAGGTGACACCACCTCTCTTCTTGTCACCGACACTTCCTCATCATCCACAGGTGACACCACCCCTCTTCTTGTCACCGAGACTTCCTCAGTATCCACAGGTCATGCCACCCCTCTTCATGTCACCGACACTTCCTCAGCATCCACAGGTGACACCACCCCTCTTCATGTCACCAGCCCTTCCTCAGCATCCACAGGTGACACCACCCCTGTGCCTGTCACCGACACTTCCTCAGTATCCACAGGTCACGCCACCCCTCTTCCTGTCACCGGCCTTTCCTCAGCTTCCACAGGTGACACCACCCGTCTTCCTGTCACCGACATTTCCTCGGCATCCACAGGTCAGGCCACCCCTCTTCCTGTCACCAACACTTCCTCAGTATCCACAGGTGACACCATGCCTCTTCCTGTCACTAGCCCTTCCTCAGCATCCACAGGTCACGCCACCCCTCTTCCTGTCACCAGCACTTCCTCAGCATCCACCGGTCACGCCACCCCTGTTCCTGTCACCAGCCCTTCCTCAGCATCCACAGGTCACGCCACCCCTCTTCCTGTCACCAGCCCTTCCTCAGCATCTACAGGTCACGCCACCCCTCTTCCTGTCACCAGCACTTCCTCAGCATCCACAGGTCACACCACCCCTCTTCCTGTCACCAGCCCTTCCTCAGCATCTACAGGTCACACCACCCCTCTTCCTGTCACCAGCACTTCCTCAGCATCCACAGGTCACGCCACCCCTCTTCCTGTCACCGACGCTTCCTCAGTGTCCACAGGTCACGCCACGCCTCTTCCTGTCACCGACACTTCCTCAGCATCCACAGGTGACACCACCCCTCTTCCTGTCACCGACACTTCCTCAGCATCCACAGGTCAGGCCACCCCTCTTCCTGTCACCAGCCTTTCCTCAGTATCCACAGGTCACACCACCCCTCTTGCTGTCAGCAGTGCTACCTCAGCTTCCACAGTATCCTCGGACTCCCCTCTGAAGATGGAAACATCAGGTAGCTGCCAACTGCCTCGCCTTTATGTCTCCCAGTGGGCCCCTTGGCGGAATTCAGCCTAAGGAGTACCTGAGAACACTGGTGCATTCGCATTACCTGGTGGGGCCGTGTCAGGTCCCACAGGGGAGGAGGTGATGGGTGTGGTGGGTGACAGGCTCACCCTCCTTTGTGCCGCAATCGAAAAGCACTGATGTCGAGAGTAGTTTGGATATGAGCAGGGGAGAGACAAGGAGTTTCCAGCTCTCTCTTCCAGCTCCTGATTTCTTTGAATCTCTTTGACTCTCCTGTTTTGTTACTGTAAGAAACACCCCGCCTTGTCTTTTCACGTGTCCAGGAATGACAACACCGTCACTGAAGACAGACGGTGGGAGACGCACAGCCACATCACCACCCCCCACAACCTCCCAGACCATCATTTCCACCATTCCCAGCACTGCCATGCACACCCGCTCCACAGCTGCCCCCATCCCCATCCTGCCTGAGAGAGGTGAGGCCATACAGGTGAGGCCTGTGCCTTTTGAGGGGTGATGTAAGTGAAGGCTCCCTCTCAGCCTACTTCCCACAGTCTCTGCTCTCTCGGGTGGGGAGAGCCTTACCGAGGACAGGGACACAGCATCGGAGTCGCTCCTGAGGGCTGGCTTTGTGCATGGCACTGGGCCAGGAGCTGGAGACAGAGAAATGACCCCAGTGCCATTCAGCAAGGGATAGATGGACGGTCCGGTAGCGGCGGTTAGAGGACTCATCCCAGGGTCTAAGTGCACACAATGGAAGGCCCTAAGGAATGCAGAGCCGGGGATGGAGGAGCACCCCAGGCAGGGAGGAGGGCGGGAACAGCTGGAACAAAGGTGTGGAAGGTATGGGTGTGGAAGGTATGGCCGTGGAAGGTATGGGTGTGGAAGGTATGGGTGTGGAAGGTATGGGTGTGGAAGGTATGACTGTGGAAGGTATGGGTGTGGAAGGTATGACTGTGGAAGGTATGGGTGTGGAAGGTATGGGTGTGGAAGGTATGACTGTGGAAGGTATGGGTGTGGAAGGTATGACTGTGGAAGGTATGGGTGTGGAAGGTATGGGTGTGGAAGGTATGGGTGTGGAAGGTAAGGGTGTGGAAGGTATGGCCGTGGAAGGTATGACTGTGGAAGGTAAGGGTGTGGAAGGTATGACTGTGGAAGGTATGGGCGTGGAAGGTATGACTGTGGAAGGTATGGGTGTGGAAGGTATGGGTGTGGAAGGTATGGGTGTGGAAGGTATGACTGTGGAAGGTATGACTGTGGAAGGTATGGGTGTGGAAGGTATGACTGTGGAAGGTATGGGTGTGGAAGGTATGACTGTGGAAGGTATGACTGTGGAAGGTATGGGTGTGGAAGGTATGACTGTGGAAGGTATGGGTGTGGAAGGTATGACTGTGGAAGGTATGACTGTGGAAGGTATGACTGTGGAAGGTATGGGTGTGGAAGGTATGACTGTGGAAGGTATGGGCGTGGAAGGTATGACTGTGGAAGGTATGACTGTGGAAGGTATGGGTGTGGAAGGTATGACTGTGGAAGGTATGGGCGTGGAAGGTATGACTGTGGAAGGTATGACTGTGGAAGGTATGACTGTGGAAGGTATGGGTGTGGAAGGTATGACTGTGGAAGGTATGGGTGTGGAAGGTATGACTGTGGAAGGTATGACTGTGGAAGGTATGGGTGTGGAAGGTATGGGCGTGGAAGGTATGGGTGTGGAAGGTATGGGTGTGGAAGGTATGACTGTGGAAGGTATGGGTGTGGAAGGTATGGCCGTGGAAGGTATGGGTGTGGAAGGTATGGGTGTGGAAGGTATGGGTGTGGAAGGTATGACTGTGGAAGGTATGGGTGTGGAAGGTATGGCCGTGGAAGGTATGGGTGTGGAAGGTATGGGTGTGGAAGGTATGGGTGTGGAAGGTATGACTGTGGAAGGTATGGCCGTGGAAGGTATGGGCGTGGAAGGTATGGGTGTGGAAGGTATGGGTGTGGAAGGTATGGGTGTGGAAGGTATGACTGTGGAAGGTATGGGTGTGGAAGGTATGGCCGTGGAAGGTATGGGTGTGGAAGGTATGGGCGTGGAAGGTATGGGTGTGGAAGGTATGGGTGTGGAAGGTATGGGTGTGGAAGGTATGGCCGTGGAAGGTATGACTGTGGAAGGTATGGGTGTGGAAGGTATGGGTGTGGAAGGTATGGGCGTGGAAGGTATGGGTGTGGAAGGTATGGGTGTGGAAGGTATGACTGTGGAAGGTATGGGTGTGGAAGGTATGGCCGTGGAAGGTACGAGTGTGGTAGGTATGGCTGCAGAAAGTCGTCCCGGTGCTGCATGGGGAGTGGATCCCCGAAGCATTTGGGGTGGCTGAAAATGAGAAGAAGGGTAGCAAAAAGTGCGGCCGGCATGCGGGGAATCCTGTAGGCAACGGGAGCCAGGGAGGACTCAGTTTTGCATTGTACAAATGGCATTTAACAAGTGGTGCCTGGAGCGGTCCGATTTGCAGGCAGTGAGGAGGCCAGGAGAGCCTGCGGGTTTCCAAGCAGGACCAGGGGAGGGCGCCAAGGAGTCGGCAGCTGCGAGAAATATTTGGGACAAGGTTTCTCACACTGGAGCCCGAGGGCCTCTAGGGAGTCCTAGGTTAAATTGGAGGAGTCTTCAAGTTTATCTGGAGAAAGGCCGTCTTAGGAAACAAGTCTCATTCCCTGAAAAGGGCTTTGCAGTTACTCATCTTCATTGCGCTGGACTTTTGTCTATTTTTTTTTTTTTTTTTTGAGATGGAGTTTTCGCTCTTGTTGCCCAGGCTGGAGTGCAGTGGCGCGATCTCAGCTCACTGGAACCTCAGCCTCCCGGGTTCAAGCAATTCTCCTGCCTCAGCCTCCCGAGTGGCTGGGATTACAGGCATGCGCCACCACACCCGGCTAATTTTTGTATTTTAAGTAGAGACAGGGCTTCTCCATGTTGGTCAGGCTGGTCTCGAACTCCTGACCTCGTGATCCTCCCGCCTCAGCCTCCCAAAGTGCTGGGATTACAGGCGTGAGCCACCGCACCCAGCATAGACTTTTGTCTTTTAACCCTGAAAAGGATTGAGACTAAGAGATTGAGAATCGTTTGCTGGTATTCTGACAGCAGGACCTGTTTTTCTCCAAGCTGGGGAAGGATGAGAGGCGCAGTTTAGGGAGTAAAATGACCACATGCATTTAATGTGGGTGGAGAGGGAGCGAGAAGCACCCTAGATGGCTGCCTCTGGGGCCCTCGGGGAACACAGGACAGGTGTGGGCAGCCTGCGGGGAGCGCTCTGGGATCCCTTTCAGCCCTAAAGAAGGCCCAGGCCCACTTGGACTTCCTGCTCTTCTCTGTCCTGGCCCAGGAGTTTCCCTCTTCCCCTATGGGGCAGACGCCGGGGACCTGGAGTTCGTCAGGAGGACCGTGGACTTCACCTCCCCACTCTTCAAGCCGGCGACTGGCTTCCCCCTTGGCTCCTCTCTCCGTGATTCCCTCTACGTGAGTCCGGGCTGCGGCCCGCGCAGCCTGAACTCCCAGGGCCCACTTCTCTCTCCTGCTTCGAGACGGAACCCAGAGGAAGCGGGAATGGAAGCAGCCTTGGCTGGGCCCCTCGTCCATCCCCACAGCCTCCTTAATGTCAGGCCTCTGCCTGAGGAACACAGGGTGCCAGGCGAGGGCTGCCCACCTGCTGGGCCCACCGCTGCTTCTGCGGGGCCTTCTCAGGAGTAAAAAGCTACACTTGGGAAACTGGACTGTTCCTGCCGTTTCCACCTTCTGGGATTCGTCTCTGGCCCCCTGGTCCCTGCCTCCTGGAGCAGAGTTGGAGGGACAGTCCTGGCTCCTGTGGCCCTGAGGGAGGAGGCTGAGTCCGAACACAGCATGAGAGGGCGACTGAGCGATGGAGAGGGTGTCCACACCTGCTGAGCGATAGAGAGAGGGTGTCCACACCTGCTGAGCGATGGCGAGAGGGTGTCCACACCTGCTGAGCGATGGCGAGAGGGTGTCCACACCTGCTGAGCGATGGCGAGAGGGTGTCCACACCTGCTGAGCGATAGAGAGAGGGTGTCCACACCTGCTGAGCGATGGCGAGAGGGTGTCCACACCTGCTGAGCAATAGAGAGAGGGTGTCCACACCTGCTGAGCGATGGAGAGAGGGTGTCCACACCTGCTGAGTGAGAGAGAGGTTTCCACCCCCTAAGTGATGGAGATGGGGTGTCTGCACCCCTGAGTGATGGAGAGAGGGTGTCTACACCCCTGAGCGATGGAGGGGGGTGCCTACACCTGCTGAGCGATAGAGAGAGGTTTCCACCCCCTAAGTGATGGAGATGGGGTGTCTGCACCCCTGAGCGATGGAGAGAGGGTGTCTACACCTGCTGAGCGATAGAGAGAGGTTTCCACCCCCTAAGTGATGGAGATGGGGTGTCTGCACCCCTGAGCGATGGAGAGAGGGTGTCTACACCCCTGAGCGATGGAGAGGGGGTGTCTACACCCCTGAGCGATGGAGAGAGGATGTCTACACCCCGAACGATAGAGAGGGTGTCCACACCCCTGAGCGATGAAGGGAGGGTGTCTACACCCCTGAGCGATGGAGAGAGGGTGTCCACACCCCTGAGCGATGGAGAGAGGGTGTCTACACCCCTGAGCGATGGAGAGAGGGTGTCTACACCCCTGAGCGATGGAGAGAGGGTGTCTACACCCCTGAGCGATGAAGGGAGGGTGTCTATAGCCCTGAGCACCCCTGAGCGATGAAGGGAGGGTGTCTACACCCCTGAGCGATGGAGAGGGGGTGTCTACACCCCTGAGCGATGGAGAGGGGGTGTCTACACCCCTGAGCGATGGAGAGGGGGTGTCTACATCCCTGAGCGATGGAGAGGGGGTGTCTACACCTCTGAGAGATGGAGAGGGTGTCCACACCCCTGAGCGATGGAGAGGGGGTGTCTACACCCCTGAGCGATGGAGAGGGGGTGTCTACACCCCTGAGCGATGGAGAGAGGTTGTCTACACCCCTGAGCGATGGAGAGAGGATGTCTACACCCCTGAGCGATGAAGGGAGGGTGTCTACACCCCTGAGCGATGGAGAGAGGGTGTCCACACCTGCTGAGTGATAGAGAGAGGTTTCCACCCCCTAAGTGATGGAGATGGGGTGTCTGCACCCCTGAGCGATGGAGAGAGGGTGTCTACACCCCTGAGCGATGGAGAGAGGGTGTCTACACCCCTGAGCGATGGAGAGAGGGTGTCTACACCCCTGAGCGATGAAGGGAGGGTGTCTACACCCCTGAGCGATGAAGGGAGGGTGTCTACACCCCTGAGCGATGGAGAGAGGGTGTCTACACCTGCTGAGCAATAGATAGAGGGTTCCACCCCCTAAGTGATGGAGATGGGGTGTCTGCACCCCTGAGCGATGGAGAGAGGGTGTCTACACCCCTGAGCGATGGAGGGAGGGCTCCACCCACTGAGCGATGGAGGGAGGGCTCCACCCCCTGAGCGATGGAGAGAGGGTTCCACTCCCTGAGCCCCACCTAATGTGTCGCAAACTTCAGGATGGGGCCCAGGGGACTGGCCAAGAGGGGTGTGCCTGTGAGGGGCTGGTCCACAGCCAGGGATCTGCAGTGAAACAGGACCAAGCCTACCACCCGAGGACGCAAGGGATGGCCTGAGGGCGGAGCATTCTGTGAGATTATATGGAAAGGGCTCTCCCCAAAACAGGACACAGGAGGTGACTTCCAGGGGTTGTTAGCATCTCTAAAGCTCTACCCTTGGGGGTCACGCTTTTGAGGAGCTGGACCAAGGCTGGGACTTTCCTCCCCACTTCCCTCCCTGAATGCTGACCACAAAACCCATGTGCTCAGTTCACAGACAATGGCCAGATCATCTTCCCAGAGTCAGACTACCAGATTTTCTCCTACCCCAACCCACTCCCAACAGGCTTCACAGGCCGGGACCCTGTGGCCCTGGTGGCTCCGTTCTGGGACGATGCTGACTTCTCCACTGGTCGGGGGACCACATTTTATCAGGTGAGCCTTTCAAAGCCTGGCAGTCAGGATCCCCCAGCAGCTGGCAGGGGAGACAAAGAGCTGTGTGGAAGGCTTTGCCAGAGTTGCTGCTGTGACAGCCCCTGCAGCAGGGGACTGAGGCTTAAATATGGGTGTGGGAGGAAGCAGTCAAGGGACATTAAGCTGACTCAGGAGTACCCCAACCCAACCACGAGACTGACCAGGAATACCCCAACCCAACCACGAGACTGACCAGGAATACCCCAACCCAACCACGAGACTGACCAGGAATACCCCAACCCGGCCGCGAGACTGACCAGGAATACCCCAACCCAACCACGAGACTGACCAGGAATACCCCAACCCAACCACGAGACTGACCAGGAATACCCCAACCCAACCACGAGACTGACCAGGAATACCCCAACCCGGCCGCGAGACTGACCAGGAATACCCCAACCCAACCACGAGACTGACCAGGAATACCCCAACCCAACCACGAGACTGACCAGGAATACCCCAACCCAACCACGAGACTGACCAGGAATACCCCAACCCAACCACGAGACTGACCAGGAATACCCCAACCCAACCACGAGACTGACCAGGAATACCCCAACCCGGCCGCGAGACTGACCAGGAATACCCCAACCCAACCACGAGACTGACCAGGAATACCCCAACCCAACCACGAGACTGACCAGGAATACCCCAACCCGGCCGCGAGACTGACCAGGAATACCCCAACCCAACCACGAGACTGACCAGGAATACCCCAACCCAGCCACGAGACTGACCAGGAATACCCCAACCCAACCACGAGACTGACCAGGAATACCCCAACCCGGCCGCGAGACTGACCAGGAATACCCCAACCCGGCCGCGAGACTGACCAGGAATACCCCAACCCGGCCACGAGACTGACCAGGAATACCCCAACCCGGCCACGAGACTGACCAGGAATACCCCAACCCGGCCAC
Source organism: Homo sapiens (assembly GCF_000001405.40). Lineage (NCBI taxonomy): Eukaryota > Metazoa > Chordata > Mammalia > Primates > Hominidae > Homo > Homo sapiens. The sequence continues at coordinate 141,597 of NT_187689.1, read as the reverse complement.
GAGACTGACCAGGAATACCCCAACCCGGCCGCGAGACTGACCAGGAATACCCCAACCCGGCCGCGAGACTGACCAGGAATACCCCAACCCGGCCGCGAGACTGACCAGGAATACCCCAACCCGGCCGCGAGACTGACCAGGAATACCCCAACCCGGCCGCGAGACTGACCAGGAATACCCCAACCCAACGACGAGACTGACCAGGAATACCCCAACCCAACCACGAGACTGACCAGGAATACCCCAACCCGGCCACGAGACTGACCAGGAATACCCCAACCCGGCCGCGAGACTGACCAGGAATACCCCAACCCGGCCGCGAGACTGACCAGGAATACCCCAACCCGGCCGCGAGACTGACCAGGAATACCCCAACCCGGCCACGAGAAGACCTGCAGGTGACGGGGGATGGGGGCTGACAATTCAGCCTTTGATTGTAAAATCAGGCTGTAGGGGGTCTATCCTAACAAGAGTGAGTCAAGAGGGCCCGTCCTGTGCTCCTGGACTGGGTGAATAACTCCAATCAGAGGAAATGTGATGAAAGCTACTGCAGGAAGTGTGGACCGTGCCCCTGCCACGGACAGGGCAGTGTGGAGGCTCCAAGAGGAAGAGACTCACGCCTGTTCTCAAGAAGCTGCAGATTAGGCATGGGGAGGTAAAAGTGGGCCCGAGTGGCTCTGCTCTCTGGGCCAGTTTGAGCTAAGATGCTTGAGTTCAAGTCCAGAGGTCTTGGACGTCTGGGCCACGACCCTGCATTCTGCACACTGCAGGCCTTCCTGCAGCCCAAGTTTGAATTGAACTTCACCTCAGAAAAGCTCACGGCAAAAATGCAGGCCTGGGACAGGGGAGGGCAGGCCATTGGGTGGGCTGAAGTGGGCAGGGTCCTCAGGCAGAAAGTGGGGGGCCCATGTGTAGGAGTGGGACCCTCGTTGGCTTGTTTTCATCTGCCCTCCTTTCCTAGGAATACGAGACGTTCTATGGTGAACACAGCCTGCTAGTCCAGCAGGCCGAGTCTTGGATTAGAAAGATCACAAACAACGGGGGCTACAAGGCCAGGTGGACCCTAAAGGTCACGTGGGTCAGTGCCCACGCCTATCCTGCCCAGTGGACCCTCGGGGTGAGTAGACCCCTGGGCAGCTCCCAGGAGCTATCTGGGAGTCAGACATCCTAGAATCCTAGGCAGGGGCCACTCTTCCAAAATCCTCTCTGGCTCTAGGAAAGATTGCTAATTATAGCAAGCCCCCCCACCGCCACCCCCCCACTGCCACCACTGTTGGCTGAGCACTCACCGTGGGCCCGGCCTGTCTCGGCCCTTTGCCTACTTGACCTCACAGCAGCCCAGCAAACCGGGTATTATTAGGCTGAAACATAGCAAGTGGCATTTTTGTAAGTCAAAAATGTCTGGCTATTCACAATTTCACGTGGCTCAGTCTGGTATTATGCTCCCCATTTTACAGATGAGGAAGACAATGGTTAGAGAGGTTAAGTAACTCGTTCAGAGTCACGCCGCTGGCAAATGGCAAAGCCAGGCCTGAGTGGAGCTTCTTCTGACTCCAGCCTCTGGCTCTGAAGCACAGGCTCATCCAACGGGCACAGGGTGCGCCACACCATCTCCTCTGTCCTCCCTCCGAGGACCCCGCTCTTGTAGTCACCAAGTTCTTCCTTATGCCTGGTCTAAAGTCACTCATTTCTTCATTCACTCGACAAAAGTTCACTGGTCACCTACTGTGGACAACGTGTGCGCCTTCAGTGAACCCCAGTGTCATCCATGCTGTTTAGATGGAGGAGACAATTTGGGCAATGTCCTTAAATATCCGCGCGGGAGCTAATGAAGCCTCCTCTCTAGCTCTCTGGTATCTTGGCTGATCTCAGGTTCTGGTAGCTTTCTCTAACAAACACTCATCTAACTGAATTGTAACCCAGAACCCTTTATCTCCCCTCCTGGAAGAAAGTCACCAAAAGGCAAATCCACCGTGGTAAGTGCGTTCGCACCCAGGGTGAAAGCTGCCCTCACTGACCCAAAACTTGCCAGCATTTTGGGCCCATGTCTTTGCTGTGGGCAGACCAGGAACAGGTGCTGTGCGTGTCAGAGCAGGGCTGTGGGACGGGCGGGGGGACATAAGAGAGGAGACCCCGGATCTCTCACGGGCATCCCTGTGTTTTCTTCCACCCACCCCCAGAGCAACACCTACCAAGCCATCCTCTCCACGGACGGGAGCAGGTCCTATGCCCTGTTTCTCTACCAGAGCGGTGGGATGCAGTGGGACGTGGCCCAGCGCTCAGGCAACCCGGTGCTCATGGGCTTCTCTAGGTAGGATGGGAGGGGCTGTCAGCACTGAGCAGTTGGCAGGGAGGGGTGTAGAGTCGGCTTTCGCTGCACACACACTCCCATCCTGGGGCAAGGCGGGAACCCTCCTGGCTGGTGCTTCTGACTCACGCTGACTCCAGCTCCCGCTGGGGCCAGGCATCTGGCTGCTTCCCATGACAAGATCACCCATTTGTCCGCCATGCCCTTTCCCATCCCAGTCCCCGTGAGTTGTAATCATTCCCAGAGCTTTGGCTTCCCTGATTTCCACTGACATTAGCTGGCCTCTCTTACCTTCTCAAATATCGTGATAATAACAGCCAAGACTGATGACACTAACACTTCGTGTACATTACTGCATGTCATGATCACAGCCACCCCACGAGGCAGATACTATTTATCATCCCCATTCTACAGATCAGGAAACTGAGATACAAATAGACTAGCAATTTGCCTAAAGTCCCAGAGCTGGGAAGTGGCAACATGGAGATTTGAACCCAGACATCTGAGGCTAGAATCTGCCTTCCTGACTTCCTGAGAATTACCCACTTATCCAGGGGGCACCCAAAAGCTTATATGGAGCCGGTGGTGAAGGGAGAGAGGAGGCACGGGGCTGTGGGCGGTTGAAATGTGGATTCCCGTGTGTGGGAGGCTGTCTCCGATGTAGCAGTGCGCCATCTCTGTTCCCATATGCTGGGGTGTGGCAATCAGTACGAAGGCCACATGTCTTTTGTTCTTGATAATTGCTGCAAATGTCTTCTCTTACATTGAGTGTGTTCAGGTTACCCCTTTGATTACACTGCTTTCACTAGTTTCTTGGTGTGCTATGAAGGAGAAAGGAGGGGAATTACCCAACTCTAGGAATTTCACACGGTCCAGGTACACCCAAGGAAGGTGTCACGCAGGGGTGCATCATCCTGCTTGTGTCAGGGAGGAGGAAAAGCCCAAGAGTCCCCACTCTGCAGCAGGCACCCAGGGTGGGGCTGCAGGCGGCTGCTCCAGGCTTTCCTCCTTCCCGGGCCATGCTCGGACCCCACACCTGGGGACGGTGATGGCGATAGTGGTGGTGGTGGTGGTGGTGGTGGTGGTGGTGGTAGTGGCGGTGGAGGTGGCAGTGGTGGTGGTGATGGTGGTGGCGATGGTGGTGGTGATGGTGGTGATGGTGGTGGTGATGGTGGTGATGGTGGTGGTGTTGGGGGTGATGGTGGCGATGGTGGTGGTGGTGATGGTGGTGGTGGTGGTGATGGTGGTGATGATGGTGGTGGCAATGATGGTGGTGATGGTGATGGTGGTGGTGATGGTGATGGTGGTGGTGATGGTGATGGTGGTGGTAGTGTTGGTGGTGGTGGTGGTGATGGTGATGGTGATGGTAGTGTTGGTGGTGACGATGATGGTGGTGGTGGTGGTAGTGCTGGCGATGGTGGTGGTGGTGGTGGCAGCAGTGGCAGCATCTGTTGTATCAAGGCCTCACTCAGTTCTGAGGGATTTGCAGATGTTACTGCATTTAATCCTCACAATACAGTGAGGTAGATGCCACTGTAATCCCTTTTATACAGATGTGAAAACTAAGAATCAGAGAGGGTCAGTAACTTGTCTGTGGTCACCAAGCTAGTAAGTGGGGGGATCAGCAGTTGAATCCATCACTGCCTAACTCCAGAAACTGGGTCTTAACCATCACAATACACTGTCCCTAGAGTCTGTCCCGCTCCAAACCCTCTGCTTGTTGAAGGGAAACAAACAGAAATGAGGCCTGAACTCTGTTGTTTTCACGCCCCTGTCTCATGACCAAGCGGACCTGCCAGTTTCTTGCAGCTAGCGATCAGATGTGGAATCGGTTAGAGCCTCCTACCTCTGCCCAGCCATCTTGTCCCCTCTCCTGCTCAGTGCTGGGGCTTGACAATGGGGGCTGGCTGACCCACTGACCCACTGCCCGCCTAGCTGGTTGACCAGCTGCTGACCGGCTAGCGGGATGAATGGACGCCTTGCAACCGCGAGGCAAGAGCCTGTGCACGGCAGAGGCCTGAGAGTCTCTCCTTTCCTGCAGTGGAGATGGCTATTTCGAAAACAGCCCACTGATGTCCCAGCCAGTGTGGGAGAGGTATCGCCCTGATAGATTCCTGAATTCCAACTCAGGTAAAAGTGCCACCTTATCACACCTGAGCTGGTCTCAAGCCCTCGCGTGTCCTCCAGCCCATACACCATCGCAGTCCTAGAGGGCACCTCCCTAACATCACGGCCATCCTGAAGGGCCTCCCCCACACAGTTCAACCTCCTACAGGTCTAGGTGGGATGTGGCACCACCCAGGGAGCAGCTGGCACCTCCTGCACCCCTGGACACAGCACAGTCTCAGAGGGGGCTACATCTCCTCCCTCAGATGAACCAGCCCAAGAGGGCTCTCGGGGGGCCCAGATCCTGGAAGTGAGGACAGGGTCTTGTGGGAGGTGGGATTTGAATGGGCAGTTCAGACAATACTCCAAGTGTCCTGTCCAGAGCAGGAATGAGAACCCAGGTGAGATCCTTTAAGAAAATCTACCGGCTGGGCGCCATGGCTCACACCTGTAATCCCAGCATTTTGGGAGGCTGAGGTGGGCGGATCACTTGAGATCAGGAGTTCGAGACCAGCCTGGCCAACATGGTGAAATTCTGTCTCTACTAAAAATACAAAAATTAGCCAGACGTTGTGGTGCACACCTGTAATTCCAGCTACTCAATAGGTTGAGGCAGGAGAATTGTTTGAACCTGGGAGGTGGAGGTTGCAGCGAGCCGAGATCGCGCCACTGCACTCCAGCCTGGGTGACAGAGTGAGACTCCATCTCAAAAAGAGAGAATCCACCAAGAAGAGGCCCGGAGGTCTCACGTTCATTGTCATCATTTACTGGGCACCTGCCGTGTGCTGGACACCGTGCTAACAGCCAGAAACAAAGGAAAAAGACCAACTGTGTTTTCTCTCAAAGAGCTTTCATGCGGGTAGAAAGACAAGCGTCAAGAGGCAAACAATGGCGCCTTCTCCATGACTCAGTCCAGAGGCCCCAATGGGAAAGAAATAATAGTTTCCAAAATGTGATAGGTTGAAGGACATTTTAGCCTTAGAAACCAGCCACGTGAACTGTGAAGTGTAAATCCAGTTCTATTTGTTCTGTGGCAACCACGTTTGGTCGTCAGAAGCAGACGCTAAGTCAAGCGAGGGGCTTTGGGGGAGGAATTGTTGCCCATCTGACTTGGGTCCAAAGAGGTGAGAAGTGGCAGGAGGGGGTGCATTTGTGAGTTTTGGTTGACCCTAAAGCTGAGACAGGGCCTGCAGCCCCAGCCCTGGATAAGCCCTTTCCCCCCCATCCCCGACCTCAGGCCTCCAAGGGCTGCAGTTCTACAGGCTACACCGGGAAGAAAGGCCCAACTACCGTCTCGAGTGCCTGCAGTGGCTGAAGAGCCAGCCTCGGTGGCCCAGCTGGGGCTGGAACCAGGTCTCCTGCCCTTGTTCCTGGCAGCAGGGACGACGGGACTTACGATTCCAACCCGTCAGCATAGGTGACACCTCCTTCCCGCCCCCCACAAGCCCACCCACCACCCTCTCTGCTCACGCCCTCAGCCTCTCCCCAGAAACAGCCCCTGCTTGTTCCCACCCCGCCCCTGGCAGCCCCGGCCTGGGCCTGAGTGGGACTGGACTTGTTTCAGGTCGCTGGGGCCTCGGCAGTAGGCAGCTGTGCAGCTTCACCTCTTGGCGAGGAGGCGTGTGCTGCAGCTACGGGCCCTGGGGAGAGTTTCGTGAAGGCTGGCACGTGCAGCGTCCTTGGCAGTTGGGTGCGTGAGTCCGTGATCTCAACCCCACCTTCCCGGCCAAGTAGGGGACCCTCAGCATGAAGCCTCTCGTCCTCATTCCTTCCCAGACCCTTCCCCTCTCTGGGCCTCCACTTCCTGATCGGGTAACGTTAGGAAGCTTCCAACATCCCCACCAGCGGACATTCGGGGATGTATGAGCTGAGAGCCTCTTTCCTCATCTCTATACCTGGCTCCACATCCCCAGGCCAGAGTGGGGCCATTTCTCCAGGCAAGAAGAGAGCGCCTAGGCTGACCCCGTCCCTGTAGACCCAGATGAGCAGGATGTTTGGGGGAAGACTGAGAGTCAGCTCCCACAGAGACGCTCCAAGGGAGCTGGAGAGCGCAGGGGTGTGGGGTCACGTGGTCTGTGTCCTCCCGTTCTCTCCCCCGTCCCATGGCAGTTTCCACAGTTCCCAGACCGTCAGCCGTGCCCTCCCCACTCCCAGCACGTTGAGAGCAGCAGTACTTGGCTCTCCACCCTCAAGACAGGAAATTTGCTTAGCTCCTACCATGCGCCCTGCTGCACAGTGGCCCCAATGCCTGCAAAAGAGACAGCACCCTATTCACTGCCCAAGGTCATGAGAAGGGCCATGCTGGATTCCAAAGCCATGCTCTTGCCACCAACACCGCCCTGCCCTACCAAGCTCTCCACCAACACCGCCCTGCCCTGCCAAGCTCTCCACCAACACCGCCCTGCCCTGCCAAGCTCTCCACCAACACCGCCCTGCCCTGCCAAGCTCTCAACCAACACCACCCTGCCCTGCCAAGCTTCTCCAGGTCCTCAACCTCCCCGACTCACTGCTGTTCTCCGCAGCCCAGGAACTGGAGCCACAGAGCTGGTGCTGCCGCTGGAATGACAAGCCCTACCTCTGTGCCCTGTACCAGCAGAGGCGGCCCCACGTGGGCTGTGCTACATACAGGCCCCCACAGCCCGGTGAGCGACAGGGCCCAGGCCCAGGAAGAGCCTCTGGGGAGGGGGAGCTTCTGGGCTTCCGGGAGGTGGCATCTGGATAAGGAGTAGGGGCAGAGCTGTGGCCACAAGGGAAGATGGAGATGACGCCAGTGATGGGTGGATGGTCAGTGGAGGGGCTTTGTACCTGAGTTGGGGAAGGAGTGAGAATAGCGGGGCACGAAAATGCAAGGAGGCTTGAGGGGAGGATTCTGTGCTCTGTGAACATCTCCCCAGCTGAGTCCGCCCGGACAAGTGCCCCAGTCGACTGCAGTGAGGAACCTCACCCTGAGTCCTCCTGGACAAGTGCCGCACCTGACTGCAGTGAGGAACCTCAGCCCTACACATGATTTGTCATGCTGAGGCAGCATCTCTTTTTTCCTTCCAGCCTGGATGTTCGGGGACCCCCACATCACCACCTTGGATGGTGTCAGTTACACCTTCAATGGGCTGGGGGACTTCCTGCTGGTCGGGGCCCAAGACGGGAACTCCTCCTTCCTGCTTCAGGGCCGCACCGCCCAGACTGGCTCAGCCCAGGCCACCAACTTCATCGCCTTTGCGGCTCAGTACCGCTCCAGCAGCCTGGGCCCCGTCACGGTGAGTGAGGGGTGCCGGGAACCTCCCTGCATTCCACCCACAGGGACCTTCAGCCACATACTGAGGCCGAGGAGAAGGAAGAGAGCGAAGGAGGGGAAGCCGGGCAGGAGGGAGGGAGGACACAGCCCATCCACGCAGCTGTCCCGGAGTAAATCCTGGGGATGGTGGATTAGGGCTCTGGCCCCACGGTTTCCCAGCTGCTTGGCTTCGAAGAAACTACTTAATTTGGTTTTCTCCTAGTAAGAATGGGGATGACATTACCTGCCTCACGGGCTGTTGTAAGAGCTAAAGGGCATAATCCGAAAACCATGCCTGGCCCTGCCGAGCACACGGTAGACGGCGGCTGGCATCACCTCAGGCCGCGGCCTCCAGCGCCTTCCTCCCGGCCCAGGGCGCAGCTTCCAGCCCCAGGGGCTCTCCCAGCTGCTTTCCTGGGCGTCGGCTCCACCTGCGGGTCGGGCTCAGGCCCCCTCCCATCTCCTTCCAGGTCCAATGGCTCCTTGAGCCTCACGACGCAATCCGTGTCCTGCTGGATAACCAGACTGTGACATTTCAGCCTGACCATGAAGACGGCGGAGGTAGGTTGGGGAGCGCCGGCCGCCCCCTCCCCGCACCGGGAGCAGCGAGGTGGGCGGGAAGCCGCGTTGCGGTGCAGGGCCGGGCGCGTGGCGGTGCAGGGCCGGGTGCGTTGTGGTGCAGGGCCGGGCGCGTGGCGGTGCCGCGCCGAGTGCTTTGCGGTGCAGGGCCGGGTGCGTTGTGGTGCAGGGCCCGGTGCGTGGCGGTGCAGGGCCCGGTGCGTGGCGGTGCAGGGCCGGGTGCGTGGCGGTGCAGGGCCGGGTGCGTGGCGGTGCAGGGCCCGGTGCGTTGCGGTGCAGGGCCGGGTGCGTTGCGGTGCAGGGCCCGGTGCGTGGCGGTGCAGGGCCGAGTGCGTTGTGGTGCCGGGCCCGGTGCGTGGCGGTGCAGGGCCCGGTGCGTGGCGGTGCAGGGCCAAGAGAGCGCAGCCTCTACCCCCGAGCGGGGCGTGCAGCTCGCCGGCCTCTTCTCCGCCTCCAGTGCAGACCCCTCCCGGCTTCAGCCCCAGGGGCGGGGTGGGGGTGGTGCGGGCCCGGCAGGGCGCGGGTTTGGTGCGGGCCGTGGTGCCGACCTGGCTTCCTCTCCGCTGCCTCCCGATGCTCCAGGCCAGGAGACGTTCAACGCCACCGGAGTCCTCCTGAGCCGCAACGGCTCTGAGGTCTCGGCCAGCTTCGACGGCTGGGCCACCGTCTCGGTGATCGCGCTCTCCAACATCCTCCACGCCTCCGCCAGCCTCCCGCCCGAGTACCAGAACCGCACGGAGGGGCTCCTGGGTGAGGGCGGCTCGGACCTGCCTCTGAGGCTCCGCGGAGCCAGCCGGAGCTCGGACCCCCACGCCGGCGGCCCGGGCAGCCCTGCTCGGCCTCCCTTTCTCCGCCTCCTTGGAGCAGAACCCTTGGGGCACAGAGCGGGCCGGGAGCCGAGGGGCTTCTCCAGCCTCCCCCGAGGCTCCCTTCCTGTCCTCCGCCCGCTCTAAGGGAGCATCAGGGGGGGCTGCGGGGAGGCGGGGGGCACAGCCATCCTTTCTCCCTTTCCTCTTGCCTCCCACATCCTCCCGCCCTCCTCCACCGCTGCCCGCGTTTCCTCCCGCCCCTCCCGAAGGCAGACGGGCAGGGTGTGAGGGCCCGTCCTCCCGGCTCCCCTGGAGGCCTGACAGCAGGTGCAAGAGCAGAGGCTGCCAGGCCCTGGCCTCTCCCCACTGCGTCCGCCGGATGCTCCCCAGGAAGGGGACAGCCGCGTGCCCAGGGTGGCCAACCTCCCACTCTGTCCCTCAGGGGTCTGGAATAACAATCCAGAGGACGACTTCAGGATGCCCAATGGCTCCACCATTCCCCCAGGGAGCCCTGAGGAGATGCTTTTCCACTTTGGAATGACCTGTGAGTCTGGGCAGGGTCCTGGGGCAGAGGGGCAGGTGAGGGGAGCCGGTATGTTTATGTCGTCCCCCTCGGCCCTGTAGGAAGCAGACCTCCATCCTCCCTAAGGTCTGAGGAATCTGTGCCCCCCCAGGGCTGTCCCCACCACCACCAGCCCACCTGCCTCTCTCTACCTGGAGGAGAGAATGGGGGACGTGGAGTGTCCTCTCTCACTGCAGCAGGTGTTTCTAGACTCAGAAGCTGGAAACCGCTCTGGCCCTGCACTCCCACCGCCCCGCTCCAAGCCATCTAAAGTGAGGGGTAGAGGTGGACACAGATGGAATAAGGCTGAGTGCCATGCCTGGTACCACCGCGCTCTGTGTGTTACAGGGCAGATCAACGGGACAGGCCTCCTTGGCAAGAGGAATGACCAGCTGCCTTCCAACTTCACCCCTGTTTTCTACTCACAACTGCAAAAAAACAGCTCCTGGGCTGAACATTTGATCTCCAACTGTGACGGAGATAGCTCATGCATCTATGACACCCTGGCCCTGCGCAACGCAAGCATCGGACTTCACACGAGGGAAGTCAGTAAAAACTACGAGCAGGCGAACGCCACCCTCAGTAAGTGGCCCGAGGCCTGGGGAGGCCTTTTCAGAGTCGGGAGCAGATGAGGAGCTGCCCTTGCCTGACCCTGCTTTTCCCTGTGCATCTGCATTCACTGAGCAGATTCTTCCACTCCTGGCATTCCTCTGCTCAAACCCTTCAGAGACTTCCCTGGCTCTCTCCATCCTTGCAGTGGCCTTCGGCCCAGTTCAGCTTCTCAGAGCTCTTCTCCTAGTGCTGGACGCCTTCCCAGCCCCCTCCGTCCATCCTAGCGCTGGATGCCTTCCCAGCCCCCTTCACTCCATACTAGCGCTGGACGCCTTCCCAGCCCCCTCCACTCCATCCTAGCGCTGGACCCCTTCCCAGCCCCCTCCATCCATCCTAGCGCTGGATGCCTTCCCAGCCCCCTCCACTCCATCCTAGCGCTGGACCCCTTCCCAGCTCCCTGCACTCCAGCCCCGCAGGCTCCTCTGTGTTCTTCAAACACGCTAGGTGCGCTCAGCTCCCAGGCTTCACACGTGCTGTTCTCTTGCCTGGAATACCCTTCCTTCCCTGGACAGCCACACGCTTGCCCCTCACCTTCTTTACGTCTTCATTCCAATGTCCCCTCCTTGGTGAGGCCTCTCTTGGCCGCCCTGTCTAAAATGTCACATTCACCCACACTTCATGTTTGCCTTCCCTGCTTTATTTTTTTCTCCTTAGCATTTATAATTACTCAACATATTTTATAATTTTCACAGGTATCTTTTTAATTATTCATTCATGACTGTATCCTCACCACCCAGAACAGTGCCAGCCACTTAGCTCAATAAATGTTTGTTAAATGACTGACTGAATGAATGTGTGAAGCAACTATGAAATGGAAATGGCAGGGCTCCGAGAAACAGACCCGTGAAGAGGTTTCACTCCCTCTCTATTTCTGGACAAATGCAATGTCCCTTTAGATGTGACCCTCCAGGTTTTGTGCGTGTGTGTGTGTGTGTTGACGGAGTTTCGCTCTTGTTGCCCAGGCTGGAGTGCAGTGACGTGATCTCGGCTCGTCGCAACCTCTGCTTCCCGGGTTCAAGCGATTCTTCTGTTTCAGCCTCCTGAATAGCTGAGATTACAGGCACCCGCCACCATGCCTGACTAATTTTGTATTTTTAGTAGAGACAGGGTTTCACCATGTTGGTCAGGCTGGTCGCGAACTCCTGACCTCAGGTTATCCACCGGCCTCGGCCTCCCAAAGTGCTGGGATTACAGACATGAGACACCCAGCACCCTTCAGGTTTTCAGCCCTTTGCCAAAGGTACAACCCTTTGGTCTAAGGGTACAACCCTTTGTAATGGTCCAAACAAATCTGCTCTCTAATTCACTTTTTGTCATACCCAGCATAGCACTGTGTTCAGGAAAGAATCTGAAAGGAGCTCTTTTTGAGGAGGTGGGGGGAGAGAAAGAGGCTAAAGATTTGGCTAGGTGGGCAGTACAGTCCCAGCCTGCTGTGCGTCAGTCGAGAGCAGGTACACAGAATAATTCCTTCTTCCAGAGGTGGGTCACAGTCCTGGGAATGCCTCACACATATTAGAGTTGAGAAAGAGAGGAGGCTGATAAAGCAGGAGACTGTCCTGCCTCGGAACCCCCATTCCCTCTTTGTGTTTCAGATCAGTACCCGCCCTCCATCAATGGTGGTCGTGTGATTGAAGCCTACAAGGGGCAGACCACGCTGATTCAGTACACCAGCAATGCTGAGGATGCCAACTTCACGCTCAGAGACAGCTGCACCGACTTGGAGCTCTTTGGTAGGACTATTTGGCTGGCTGGGGAGAGTGGGGAGGTGGGTAGGGGATGAGGTCAGAGTCAAATTTGGGAAATTCTGCATTGCTACACCCAGCAACACTTGCTGTCACTCTTTCATTTGAATATCCAGGACCGGCATTTCCGAGGAGCGATATCTATAACTCAAATAGGTGCCCCCCAGTAAGTAGTAGTGACGGGCTTACGGCGGTTTGGCCAGATAGCTAGAGTGACTCTGGGCACATAGAACTGATTCAAGGCTGGGCGCGGTGGCTCATGCCTGTCATCCCAGCGCTTTGGGAGGCCGAGGTGGGCGGATCATCTGAGGTCAGGAGTTCGAGACCAGTCTGGCCAACATGGTGAAACCCCGTCTGTACTAAAAATACAAAAAAAAAAAAAAAAGCCAGGCATGGTGGTGCATGCCTGTAATCCCAGCTACTCAGGAGACTGAGGCAGGAGAATCGCTTGAACCCAGGAGGCAGATGTTGCAGTGAGCTGAGATCGCGTCACTGCACTCCAGCCTGGTGACAGAGCGAGACTCTGTCTCAAAAAAAAGATTTGAAGATCATTTAATCTCAATCTGATCATATATAGTCATCTTTAGTCATTATGCATTCACCAAATTATTAGAATAATCAAGTGCAACATTTAAAATGACCAATTTACAACATTTTTATATCTATTAAAGGAAGGCTCTAATGTAGGACAAGATTTAAAGAAATATGAAAAATACTTTCGTTTGGTACCTTTCTTGCTCTTTTTGTCTGGCAACCATGTTTACCTAGCCGTGTCTCTCCTTGTCTGGTTTCCTGGGCTAGGACCCAGTAGAGTGCCATCGCTCCCTCTCCGTAAAGGTGTTAGAGACCCCGAGCCCTACATCCATGATCAGGGCCAAAGGCTCCAAGCACAAGGGACGCTGCTTTCGTCTGTTGCCAGCACTAATTCAAAGGGTCCAAGGGCATCAAAGGGATGCCACTTTCTGTCTGTTGCCAGCACTAATTCTGAGGGTGACTGTTCTTGGCTAAACCAAAGCCCCGGGGGGCATATTTTGCGTTCTCTTTGCCTCTCTGCCTGATGTTCTTTCTCTCTGTGTCTCAGAAGGGACTGCTTTGCCTGCATCCCTTTTGCCCCATGTGCGTCCTCCCAGGTGCGAGACAATGGCACTGAGAGGTTTTCTTCTCCACGGGCCCCACCCCTGAAGGACGATGGTCTGGAAATTACGTTCGTCTATTCTCTGTCACTTCCTTTCAATCTGCTGTTTTAAGGAGACTTTCCTATTTTCTTGAAAAATATCAGTTTGATCTGAAGATATGTAGTAGTGTTTCACTACAGTCTGGTGTCTGAAGGGGGTGTCTGGGAAAGGTCCAGGAAGTGGGGGGTGGGTGAGAAATCAGGGCAAAGGATGGGGCTGCCGTGAGAGTGAAGCCAGTTTGGCCGGCAGCGCAGCCTGGGGAGGTGTCTGGAGGATCCTGGCCTTGATCCTCCATCCCCCAGGATGTCCCATCCTGGTGTGAGCCCAGCCAGGGCTGCCCTTTGGGGTTTCTTCAGGAGGAAACTGCTTTCCCCTCTGTGGCGTTCCCCGCTACAATCAGTATGTTGGACTGGTGCCACGTCCTTCCAGCTGGGAGCGTGACCAGGATCACCCCCGATACCAGCCTTGCTCAAAGGAAATGACCAATGAGATTTGTCTGGGGAGGGGGAGGGTGGCCTGAGAGGGGTGGGGGAAGCCCCGTATCAGCAATCAGACCACAGAGCCGAGGAGTCTCCCAGCTCTCAACATTCTCATCTTCCCCGGGGCAGAGAATGGGACGTTGCTGTGGACACCCAAGTCGCTGGAGCCATTCACTCTGGAGATTCTAGCAAGAAGTGCCAAGATTGGCTTGGCATCTGCACTCCAGCCCAGGACTGTGGTCTGCCATTGCAATGCAGAGAGCCAGTGTTTGTACAATCAGACCAGCAGGGTGGGCAACTCCTCCCTGGAGGTGAGTGTTGGGAGGTGGGGGAGGAGTTTCTGTGCCGAGGGGAGAGGAAATGGGAGTGGAATGGATGCTGTGATTCTGCCTGTCCTGGGTGTGTCTGTGTTGGGAGATGGGTGGAGCAGTGGTAGGTGAGTAGAGCAGATTCCAGTCTCAGGCCACAAACTCACATGGGAAGAAAGAGAACTTTCTGGCCGGGTGCAGTGGCTCACGCCTTTAATCTCAGCACTTTTGGAGGCTGAGGCAAGCGGATCACAAGGTCAGGAGATCGAGACCATCCTGACCAACATGGTGAAACCCCATCTCTACTAAAAATACAAAAATTAGCTGGGCGTGGTGGCAGGCGCCTGTAGTCCCAGCTACTCGGGAGGCTGCGGCAGGAAAATCGCTTGCACCCGGGAGGTGGAGGTTACAGTGAGCCAAGATTGCGCCATTGTACTCCAGCCTGGGCAACAGAGTGAGACTCTATGTCAAAAAGAAAGAAAAGAAAAGAAAAGAAAAGAAAAGAAAGAAAGAAGGAGGGAAAGAAAGGAAAGGAAAGAAAGGAAAGGAAAGAAAGGGAAAGGAGAAAAAGAAAGAAAGAAAGAAACTATATTGGAGAAAAAGAAGGACGAAAGAAAGAAAAAGGAAGGAAGGAAGGAAAGAGGAAAGAACCTTACTTTATTGCTTATAGTTCAACTGGATTTTTATCTCCCACCTCCCCTTCTGCCAGGTTGGCAGGAAACTTCCACCTCCGTCTTTCTCACAGCGCCCCACAGCTCTGCGGCGAAGCCCAGCAGAGGGCCCTGCGGTGTGGGGTGGAAGGTGGTTGTGGGTCCCTGGGCGTGAGTCCACACAGGTTTCCATCACAGCTCCGCCCCACTTCCCCTTCAGACCCAGGGAGAGGCTCTGCTGCTTCTGTGCCTTGCTCAGACACAGGACACCTTTTCTGAGGCCGCTTACAGTCCTGTCTGCCTAGAAGCACCCCACAGTCATTTCTCCCTAGGATGTCATCATCACGGTGCTGGGAAGAGAGCTGCGGGTCCCTCTATCTTGACACCTCCAAGCCCCTTTGCTTTCTCTTTTACTATCTCCTTCCAGCTAAAAGAAACATCTTTTCCAGTTTGGAGAAACTACTTCTCCATGTTTCTAGCCAAGATACTTGGCCTAATTCCACGACTCTTGTCCTATCTGCTTTTTTATTTTTATTTTTGGTTGTAAAGGAAGAGCCAGAAAGGAAAGTGTTTATCTGGCAACACAAAACTACCTCCTTCACCACTTACACACACACGCATGCACACGCACACACAGACACACACACACATCCTTCTGAAGCATGAGCAGAGAATGGGTACTCGAAAGGGATAGAGGTAGGGACGGTTGGTGGGGTAGGGGGTAGAAAAGCATAAAATACACAATGGGAAAAAGAGATTGAAATCAATATACTATTCCACAGATCCCCAAATATCCACTCTTGGGAGTAGCAAGTGTTAGAGGATTCCATTTTAGGGAGATTCCCCGAGTCGCTTCAGTAAGGGAGTTAGAAAGGGGAGCGCAGGGAGCTTGGTGAGGTCTCGGCGCCGCAGCCTTTGCTGAGCTGCTGTACTGGCTGCTGTGTTTTCTCACAGTGCTCAGCAGGGAGGCTCTGTCTTCTTGGTTTGGGAGTCAGCAAGGGAGGTCAATTTCAGCTTATATGAAATCCAGTTTGCAGGCCACATAGGAGCCTGAGGCAGGCGGATTGCTTGAGCTCAGGACTTTGAGACCAGCCTGGGCAATATGGCAAGACCCTGTCTCTACTAAAAATCAAAAAATTAGCTGGGCGTGGTGGCATATGCCTGTAATCTCAAGTATTTGGGAGGCTGAGGCACAAGAATTGCTTTAACTTGGGAGGGGGACATTGCAGTGAGCCGAGATCGAGACACTGCACTGCAGCGTGGGAAACAGAACGAGACTGTCTCATTAAAAAAAAAAGCAGAAGAAAAATACAAAAATTAGTGGGCGTGGTGGTGCATGCCTGTAGCCCCAGCTCCTCGGGAGGCTGAGGTGGGAGGATGGCTTGAACCTGGGAGGTGGAGTTTGCAGTGAGCCAAGATCAAGACATTGCACTCCAGCCTGGGCAACCGAGTGGGACCCTGTCTCAAAATAAATAAGGAATCCAGTTTTCAAGCAATAGGACATACATGGATACATACACACATGGATACATACACACATGGATACACACATATGGATACATACATGGATACATGCATACATGCATGACACACACATACATACATGGATACATACATGGATACATACATTGATACATATCTACATGGATACATACATGATACATACACACATGGATACACACATGGATACATACATGCATACATGCATGGATACACACATACATACATGGATACATACATACATGGATACATACATCTATACATGGATACATTCATTCATTCATTCATGCTTCAATCATTCATGCATCCCCCATCTTACTCTAGAAAGGATTTCAGGCAAAGAGCTAGAGTGTGAGAGGGAAGAGGCTGAGATCCTGGTGCAGGGCCAGGCAGGGGGTCAGGGTAAACAATGACCCAGGGAGGCCAGCTGGGCAGGACTACCGTGTGGCTTTAGGCAGGGCCTTGCCGCCCCACGGCCTGGTCAAGAAGGTGCTCAGCAGGTGCTGGTGGGGCTGAGACATGACTCAGGGTCCACGGGTTCTCAGGCCAAAGGGGTCAGTCAGAAACACCCAGAAGCCCTTCCCAGTTTGGTCTCCTGGCCGCCCGTGATCGGCAACCCTCCTCCAGGTGGCTGGCTGCAAGTGTGACGGGGGCACCTTCGGCCGCTACTGCGAGGGCTCCGAGGATGCCTGTGAGGAGCCGTGCTTCCCGAGTGTCCACTGCGTTCCTGGGAAGGGCTGCGAGGCCTGCCCTCCAAACCTGACTGGGGATGGGCGGCACTGTGCGGGTGAGCCGGGAACAGGGCCTGGAGCAGGCGCTTCTGGGAGCAGCTGATAGCTCAAGGGTGTAGACAGCCAAAGGCAAACCATTTCTCTCCTTTTTCCAGCAGATCTTTAGAATGCTCAATCTAGGCAGGTGTGGGAAATCTAGGCAGGTGTGGGAAATCATCTAGGCAGGTATGGGAAATCTAGGCAGGCCTGGAAAGGGGGTGGTGGATGGTGTGGGGCTGAAGGAGAAGAGGTTGTACAGGCATAGGGGAGGGGACGGGGCTGGGCATCCCTGAGGCATTGATGGGGGGAGCCCCGGGCGAAAGACTGAAGATGGTTTGGGGAGGAGACTTCAGCAGCCGCCAGAGAACCGGGCAAGCTGGGTCCTCGGGATCCCTGGGGATCTTCAGAGACACGAGGCTCAGGATCTCTGCATCTCACGAGTCAGGACGTTTGGAGGGGCTGGCGTGGGGATCCGGCAGCAAAGGTGCCTGATTTTCCCTTTGAGTCCTCCCAGCCATCTGTTCCTCCCGCTCTGAGTCACCAGAGTCTGATGAGGGAGATCACAGCGAGGCCTTTACCAAGCCCCCTAAGGCACCCAAATAAAATCTACAGATCACTGTGCCTTCAGAGCCGAGGCCAGAGTGGGTAGAACCGCAGCTTTTATAAAGGCAGAAAAGGAGATGGACGTGAGAGGGGAGGGCGTGAGGAAAGCCAGCTGGGGGCCCCTCCTCTGCCAGCCTTCGGGGTCCTTTCTGAAGCAGAGGGTCTGAGAAACACTCCAGTCCCTCCACAAAAGTGGAAGAATACCTGTCTGGCCGGGGAAAGGGGTTGCCCTGCAGAGAAACGCCTGGAAAAGGGGGGAAGGATGGTTTGGGGTTCCGAGTGGCCCGAAGTGGAACACTGGGGGAAAGCAAGCCTGTCCCGGAGCGGGTTTCCACGGGCTGGGCCGTCCCTCTGCTGCCCTGCGCGCTGCTGCTGACCTCCCTACTCACTCTGCAGCTCTGGGGAGCTCTTTCCTGTGTCAGAACCAGTCCTGCCCTGTGAATTACTGCTACAATCAAGGCCACTGCTACATCTCCCAGACTCTGGGCTGTCAGCCCATGTGCACCTGCCCCCCAGCCTTCACTGACAGCCGCTGCTTCCTGGCTGGGAACAACTTCAGTCCAACTGTCAACCTAGGTACCGCCAGAGACCCCGCCCTCTCACCCCCGCACTCTTCCTGGGCCCCACCCTCTCACCCCCGCACTCCGCCCACCTTTGGGGAAGATGAGGAAGCTCTGGGGTCACAGGACAGAGCTCCAGATTTCTCTGGGATGGTGTAAGGTGCGGGCTATGGGAGCTGGCGAGGCAAGCTGTCACGGCAAGGACCACGGGCCTGTGTGGCCTATGGAGGAAGGACGGAGGCAGAGACCTCACAGCTGGCTCAGTGAGATGAGCGCTGGGGAGGCCCGGAGCATAGTGGAGTGAGCCCTAGCGTGAGGGCCACTTCTCCCGGTTTCTTCAGCAACCTTCTGTCACTGTGGAATGTAGGGTGAGGGCCACTTCTCCCGGTTTGCTCAGCGACCTTCTGTCACTGTGGAATGTAGGGTGAGGGCCACTTCTCCCGGTTTCTTCAGCGACCTTCTGTCACTGT
Organism: Homo sapiens; assembly: GCF_000001405.40. Lineage (NCBI taxonomy): Eukaryota > Metazoa > Chordata > Mammalia > Primates > Hominidae > Homo > Homo sapiens. Next base: position 123,093 of record NT_187689.1, on the reverse strand, counting down.
GGAATGTAGGGTGAGGGCCACTTCTCCCGGTTTCTTCAGTGACCTTCTGTCACTGGAATGGAGCAGTCAACTTGGGCTGGCCCGACAGACTTTTTGGGTAAGTCTGGGTAAACCGTGGGGTGATGATACATTTGCTTCTCCCATCTCCAGAACTTCCCTTAAGAGTCATCCAGCTCTTGCTCAGTGAAGAGGAAAATGCCTCCATGGCAGAAGTCAACGCCTCGGTCAGTGCTGCAGGCCGCGCTCTGGGTGGGAGGGGGCGCTTGGCGGGTTCAGGCCAGGGCGGAACCATCGCTGTGCGGCCTTCATCTTGTCATCCATCTGGATTCAACTGCCAGAGGAGGCCGGAGCCTCTTGCCCCATGGGAGGTGCAGGGCATTAGGAAGTGAGGAAGGCCCAAGACAGAAACCTCGACTCATCATAAGCAGAGGCCAGGGTGCCAAGTCACCCCAGCCGAGACCTCTAAGCATCTTGGTTATGATCTGAAAGAAACTAAAGGACATTTCACCTCCCGGGAGTCTTCCCTGACTTCCCAGAGGGAACGGGCGGCTCCCTCTTCTTGGCTGCCATGCCATACCTCAGTCACAGGCAAAGTGGCACAACTGCTGAGTGGTTGGGGCTGTAGAATCCTGCACACCCAGAATCAGAATCCCTGCTCTGCCCCTCACTAGAGCAGGTGTGCTAACTAGACACATCATATAACAGGTCATCTGTAAACACAGGGACAATCATAGCACCTGAGTCAACAGGCCGTATCACCGTTTAAATGATAACGCGTGTCAAGCATTTAGTCCAGTGCCTGACACACAAGTATTCAAACATGATGACTGCTATTATCACTACTGCAAGCCTAGCACTCCCCACTCCACACTCCACACGGTAAAATCTGTTGACATTTGTCACCTGCGCCAGACAATGCACTCTTTGAGTTTAGACTCCACCTAAGTCACCTTGACACCCCCAGCCCCGACCATCTCCTAGGTCTAAACAACCCATGTTCAATATACTGGGGAGGAGGTCATGAGTCATGTGTCAGAGGCAAGGTAGGGGCCATTCATGTCAGATTCTCTGCTCGTCATATGAGGCTGAGGGGGGGACAGAATGGAAAACCCTTCACTCTCAACAAACATTATTAAGCAAGGACCCATGACACTCACTGAGCTAGGCTAGAGTGCAAGGGTGCAGAGACAGGTGAGGAAGGTGCTGGGGTCCTGGGGCTCCCGTTCCAGGAGGAAACAGGGATGAATACACCCATCAAGGTGGGAGGGCGTCTCCCCCCCGGATGGGGCCTCACCCCCACCCCCATCTGCCATCCTCTAACCTAGGTGGCATACAGACTGGGGACCCTGGACATGCGGGCCTTTCTCCGCAACAGCCAAGTGGAACGAATGTAAGTGGGACTGTGTCCCCCTAAGCCCCCAGATCTCTTCCTCATCCCCCACCCCCAGCCCCCCACCCCCCCTCACCGTTGCCCTCCCACACAGCGATTCTGCAGCACCGGCCTCGGGAAGCCCCATCCAACACTGGATGGTCATCTCGGAGTTCCAGTACCGCCCTCGGGGCCCGGTCATTGACTTCCTGAACAACCAGCTGCTGGCCGCGGTGGTGGAGGCGTTCTTATACCACGTTCCACGGAGGAGTGAGGAGCCCAGGAACGACGTGGTCTTCCAGCCCATCTCCGGGGAAGACGTGCGCGATGTGACAGCCCGTGAGTCCGTCCATTCCGGGGACACTATGGGGGTCACTGCGGGGGGCGGGCAAACAGAGGTGCTTCAGCCCACACAAACAAGCTAATTGAGTTTTTCTGTTTGTTTGGTTTTGAGCGAAAACGTGAACATTTTGTCCAGCTGCTTTTTAGATTCGAGAGCAGGAGCAGCCAGCACTGCTGAGGCAGTCACACGTATACAGCTTCACGGAGCAAGCACCCAGCCAGGGCCTTGCTGACTGTGGCTGCTAATAAAACAGCAGCAATTTAGTTTCATAAAATTGCTAATAGTTTTCTTAAAATGCCATTGCACTTAAGCATACACAGGGACACCCCCATCGTCTCTGCTCTCCAGCGGGAGGATATGAAGCTGGAGACTGGAGACTGGCCAGGGACAGAGGCAACTACTCCCTGAAATGGTGTCACCCTGTGCAAGCACCTTCCCCAGGCCAGGCCAGGCCTCAACACCCCCCAGCACCTTCCCCAGGCCAGGCCAGGCCTCAACACCCCCCAGCACCTTCCCCAGGCCAGGCCTCAACACCCCCCAGCACCTCCCCGAGGCCAGGCCTCAACACTCCCCAAGCACCTTCCCCAGGCCAGGCCTCAGCACCCCCATCTGAAAATGAGATGGGATTTCTGAGCCCCCTTTCAGTGCTGACAGCCCCCGGTTTTCCTGGAACAGGAATAAGTTGGCAAGCTTGTCAGAGAAACAAAGGAATAACACGTCCTATTTTCTGTATAGGGCAGAGAACAGGGCAGGGGCCGCCCCAAACACAACAGGAACTGCTGTTTTACTTGGGTCTGGGACCAAGCAAGAGCTTCTCCCAGAATCCAGGCTAAGCCCGCTCTCTCCCGGAGCAGGGGGTGAAATCCCTCAGAACTACTGTATGTTGGGGAGTTGGGGTAGGAGGCGCAGGGAGGCAAGCCCTGACTATGCAATTAAGGAAAACCTATAATTTTTATTATACAAGCATCGTATGTTTATTGCAGAAACTTTAGGAAACACAAACTTAACAAAAAGAAAAGAGGAAAAAAACCCTGTAATCCCAATCCCCAGAGAGACAACAGTATTTCCTACATATCCTTCTGAACTTTCTTTTATGCCTAGGAACCTTCAGACATCCATTTTTTACTGAAGGATCAAATCATTCCTAATGTTGGAAAACCTCCTCATTAAACAGTTGTGAACAGGTTGTCTCATATATTCTGTCCACATTCCCATTTGACATATTATGATGGTATGTTTGAATATAGTGTCATATTTTAAAATACATTATAATAATCATTACCATTGTTTGAGTGCTTACTGTGTGTCCGGCACTGTACTGAGTACTGTGGACACATTATCTCATTTAAATCTCACAGCAGCATAAGTGCTATTATGATCATTTCCTTTTAAAGATAAGGAAACTGAAGCTGAAAGAGTGAAGGAATGTTCCCTGAATTACACATCTAGTCACTAGCAGAGTTTCAGTTTCCACCCAAGTCTGGCCACCTTCAAAGCATGTGCTCTTCAGGAAAGCATTTTCCATAGGAACCTTTTTCCACAGGAACCTTTTTCCCTAGGAACCTTTTTCCCTAGGAAACTTTTTCCATAGGAAGCACCATCCCTTGGTAAGGATGTGCAGTAGTTTATTTAACCAGACCCTACTTCTGAAACGTTACTATTATCCACCATGCTGATCTGAACGTCCAGGGGCATATGTATCTGTGCACTTCTCCAATTATTTCTCAGGATAAACACCCGAAAAGGAATTCGTGGCTGAAAAGGTACTGATTTAGTGTTCATCGGTTGCTTTCTGTGTTAATCTGTGTCCTTCCCGACAGTGAACGTGAGCACGCTGAAGGCTTACTTCAGATGCGATGGCTACAAGGGCTACGACCTGGTCTACAGCCCCCAGAGCGGCTTCACCTGCGTGTCCCCGTGCAGTAGGGGCTACTGTGACCATGGAGGCCAGTGCCAGCACCTGCCCAGTGGGCCCCGCTGCAGGTGCATAGGGCTGTGGCCAGGAGGTGGAGGACAGTGCTGGGGAACCCAAGCTGGGCAAGACACTGCAAGGGGTCCAGGAATTAGGATGGCTCGAGAGATCAGAGACCAGGGAAGAGAGGACAGTGGAAAAGGAGAGTTGTGAGTGCCTGCTCTGTGTGGAGAATAAAGGCGCTATATTACAAACTCTGAAACCCAAAAGAGCCATAGGGGGGCTTAGAACTATTTCGAAGATGAGAAAACTGCAGCTTAGAGATGACAAGGAACCTGCCCCAGGACGCAGTAGGTTAAGCAGCAGGGCATGGTTTCCAAAGCCAAACATTTTTTATATTTTTATGTTTTGAGATGGAGTGTCATTTGTCGCCCAGGCTGGAGTGCAGTGGTGCGTTCTCGGCTCACTGCAACGTCCTTCTCCCGCGTTCAAGCGATTCTCCTGCCTCAGCCTCCCGAGTAGTTGGGACTACAGGCATGCACCACCACGCCCAGCTGATTTTTGCATTTTTAGTAGAGACGGGGTTTCGCCATGTTGGTCAGGCTGGTCTCGAACTCCTGACCTCAGGTGATCCGTCCACCTTGGCCTCCCAAAGTGCTGAGATTACAGGCGTGAGCCACCGCGCCAGGGCCCAAAGTCAAACCCTCCCACCTGATCTGGCTGCTGCTTCCCTGCTGTCTCCTTGTGGGAAAAGAACCTGCAGTCCTGTGTCTAGGCCAGTCCTGCCCCTCAGTCAAGCGAGGCGCCTTTGCCCCTGCCCTCATCAGCAGTCCCCGGGGCTCCGCTGGTTAACAGCGCAGGAAGCCGCGGCCCCACGCAGACCTGGGCTCCGGGCCCTCCGCCAGCTGCAGTTCCAGATCCCGCCGAAGGAGGGGGCGGGCGGAGCGCGGGTGGGGCGGGGCCCGGCTCTCCGGGTGGGCGGGGCGGGGCGGGGCCGGGCTGGGGCGGGGGTGTGACTGCGCATGCCCACCTGTGGCCGGCATCCCTGCCGCCCAGGTGCAGCTGACTGCACGTGCAGCTGAATTCACACCAGGTTTTTGTTTTTGTTTTTTGAGACGGAGTCTTGCTCTGTCCCCCAGGCTGGAGTGCAGTGTTGCAATCTCGGCTCACTGCAACCTCCACCTCCCAGGTTCAAGCGATTCTGCCTCAGCCTCCTGAGTAGCTGGGATTACAGGTGCGCACCACCACGCCTGGCTAATTTTGTATTTTTAGTAGAGATGGGGTTTCACCGTGTTGGCCAGTCTGGTCTCGAACCCCTGACCTCAAGTGATGCGCCCGCCTCAGCCTCTCAATGTGCTGGGATTACAGGCGTGAGCCCCCGCGCCGGCCCAGGCCCATGTTTTTAAAGCCCACACCTGCCTCCTTTGCCCAGTGGTCTCACTTCAGCACGGCCTCAGGGCTGACTCAGTCTCTCCGGAGAGTGGGGCGAGCCCAGCCTCTCCTACAGAACCTCTTCTTCCCCAGCAGAAGAGGAGGGGCTGGGAGGCTGAGCTCCCGCCTCTGACCGCCTGTCTGTCTCTCTTGGTCACCAGCTGTGTGTCCTTCTCCATCTACACGGCCTGGGGCGAGCACTGTGAGCACCTGAGCATGAAACTCGACGCGTTCTTCGGCATCTTCTTTGGGGCCCTGGGCGGCCTCTTGCTGCTGGGGGTCGGGACGTTCGTGGTCCTGCGCTTCTGGGGTTGCTCCGGGGCCAGGTTCTCCTATTTCCTGAACTCAGCTGAGGCCTTGCCTTGAAGGGGCAGCTGTGGCCTAGGCTACCTCAAGACTCACCTCATCCTTACCGCACATTTAAGGCGCCATTGCTTTTGGGAGACTGGAAAAGGGAAGGTGACTGAAGGCTGTCAGGATTCTTCAAGGAGAATGAATACTGGGAATCAAGACAAGACTATACCTTATCCATAGGCGCAGGTGCACAGGGGGAGGCCATAAAGATCAAACATGCATGGATGGGTCCTCACGCAGACACACCCACAGAAGGACACTAGCCTGTGCACGCGCGCGTGCACACACACACACACACACACGAGTTCATAATGTGGTGATGGCCCTAAGTTAAGCAAAATGCTTCTGCACACAAAACTCTCTGGTTTACTTCAAATTAACTCTATTTAAATAAAGTCTCTCTGACTTTTTGTGTCTCCAAAACCAGGAATTCCATTCTTGATTTTCTTCTGGTGGCCGAAGGGCTGGACACAGACTTCTCCCAACCATCAGAGGGCACAGAGTGTGGAGGTTAAGTGCTGGGCAGCAGTGGAGCATTAGGGGCAGCTGGATCCAGTCCTAATCAGCCCGGTTACCCATGCTGGAAACCCTCAGTTGCTCCACCCCAACCTTGCTTCATGCTCCACATCACCTTCTTCTTCCCCCACCCCAGCACAGGCCAAAGCTTCGCCCGCTAAGGAGGAGAGCGAAAGAGATACCCCAAGATGGAGTGCCCCAGACTCTCTCCCAGGACCCCTCCCTGCCTGCCTGTCCATCAGTTTCACAAAAGTCGTAAAAGGATCAATGCACAGTGTGTTTACCTGTCTGGTGGCTGTCCCCACCGCCTGCGTTTCATGGAAGAGCGATTAAACCATTTCAGCTCCCTTTCCAGGAACCAACTCAAGAAACATGCCACCACCCCACCCTTAGATCTGGAGGGCCCGACCCCTCATATACCCTCTCTGTCCTTTCCCGGACCCCAGATGGAGTCTTCTGAGGTTCTCCATCCCACAGCCCTTCACCTCTACCCTGCCTCCACTTGCCCCAGCAACCTGATCAGCTTCCACAGAATCCTCTCAGCAGGCGGGACTTTTACACCTATCTGGTGTAATAACTCCAACACAATTGGTCCACAATTCCTGTGTCTAGAAAATCTCAATTCCAACTTTATGCAGAAACTAGGTAGCTGCCTCTTAGTTCTAAATCCCAAATCCCTGAAGAGAGAATCTGACTGGTCCAATTTACATCAGTTGTTTATGCCTGGTCCAATAAAATGTAGTCATGGGGTCAGAAAGGAGGTCACATGGTGCAAAGCAGGTGTTCAAGCTCATTCTTGCGGGTGGGTAAGTGCTGTTGAAGGAAGCTCCCAAAGGAATATCTTTGGTTGGGCACGGTGGCTCACGCCTGTAATCCCAACATTTTGGGAGGCCAAGGCGGGCAGATCACTTGAGGCCAGGAGTTTGAGACCAGCCTGGCCAACATAGTGAAACCCTGTCTCTACTAAAATACAAAAATTCGCTGGGCATGGTGGCACACGCCTATAATCCCAGCTACTCAGGAGGCTGAGGCAGGAGAATCTCTTGAACCCAGGAGGCGGAGGTTGCAGTGAGCTGAGATTGTGCCACTGCACTCCAGCCTGGGCAACAGAGCAAGACTCTGTCTCAAAAAAAAAAAAAAAAAAAAAATATATATATATATATATATATAAAGAATATATATATAATCTTTGTATTAGGGTTCCCTAGAGGGTCAGGACTAATAGGATAGATGTATATATAAAGGGGAGTTTATGAAGGAGTATCGACTCACACGATCACAAAGTGAGGTCCACAATAGGCTGTCTGCAAGCTGAGAAGCAGGGAAGCTAGTCTGAATCCCAAGATCTCAAAAGTAGGGAAGCCGACAGTGTAACCTTAAGTCTGTGGCAGAAGGCCCAAGAGCCCCTGACAAACCACCAGTGTAAGTCCAAGAGTCCAAAAGCTGAAGAACTGGAAGTCCGATGTTTGAGGGCAGGAAGCATCCAGCACGGGAGAAAGATGAAGGCTGGAAGACTTAGCCAGTGTAATCCTTCCACATTCCTCTGCCTGCTTTATTCTGGCTATGCTGGCAGCTGATTAGATTGTGTCCACCCAGACTGAGAGTGAGCCTGCCTCTCCCAGTCCACTGATTCAAATATTAGTCTCCATTGCCAACACCCTCACAGAGAGACACCCAGGAACAATACGTTGCATCCTTCAGTCCAATCAAGTTGACACTCAATATTAACCTTCACAGTCTTTGATCTGAGCAGACTCCAAACTTACATGGAGAATGACTTCTCCCAATAGGTGAAGCCACTCTCCTACATACAAAGCTGTAGCTTTACCCTCATATGCCCCAAAGTGGAATGTAATGAAGTCTCCATACAAAACTGCAGTCACAGCATTCATTTATCAAGAAGCAAGCACACAGCACAGATGAGTTCGCTGGTGAATTTTAGCAGATATTTAAGGGGAAATAATACCTATTTTCTGCAATCTTTTCCAGAAGATAGAAGCAGGAGGAATACTTCCTAAGTCATTTGTCACTGTCACCCTAATGCCAAAACGGGACAAAGACATTACAAGACGACTATAGACCAATATATCTCACATAGATGCAAAAATTACCAACAAAATATTAGCAAATACAGTTCAACAATATGTAAAAAGAATTATAGGCCATGACCAACAGAGATTTATCCCAGGTATGCAAGACTGGTTCAATATTCAAAAATCAGCTAATGCAATCCGTTACATCAACAGGCTAGAGAAGAAAAATCACATGATCGGCCAGGCATGGTGGCTCACGTCTGTAATCCCAGCACTTTGGGAGGCCGAGGCAGGCGGATCACGAGTTCAGGAGATCGAGACCATCCTGGCTAACACGGTGAAACCCCATCTCTACTAAAAACACAAAAAATTAGCTGGGCGTGGTGGTGGGCGCCTGTAGTCCCAGCTGCTTGGGAGGCTGAGGCAGGAGAATGGTGTGAACCCAGGAGGCGGAGATTGCAGTGAGCCGAGATCACACCACTGCACTCCAGCCTGGGTGACAGAGTGAGACTCTGTCTCAAAAAATAAATAAATAAATAAATAAATAAAAGAATATCTACAAAAACCTACAGCTAACATCATCCTTAACGGTGAGAAATTAGATGCTTTCCCCTAAGATTAGTAACAAGGCAAGAACGTCCCCTCTCACCATCGATTCTCAACATCCTGCTGGAGGTCTTGGCCAATGCAACTAGACACAAAAGGGAAATAAAAGGTATACAGAATAAAAAGGAAGAAACAAAACTGCTTTGTTCACAGATGACACAATCATCTATGTAAAAAAATCTAAGAGTTGACAAAAGGAAAAAACCCCAGAACAAAGAAGCAATTTCAGACAAGTTTCATGATATAAGGTTAGTGTCCTAACGTCAACAGCTTTCGTGTGTGCCAGCAAAGAACAATTGGAATTTAGAATTAAAAATATTTGAGCAAGACAGGAAACAAAAAAAGAAAAATGAATAATAAAATTAAATACATATGACCATTTACATTAGCATCCCCCAAAATGAAATACTGAGGTGTAAATGTAACAAAATATGTACAAGATCTATATGAGAAAAACTATAAAACTCTGATGAAAGATATCAAAGAACTTCATAAATGGGATGACATTCTATGTTTATGAACAGGAAGACTCTTTTTTTTTTTTTTTTTTGAGATGGAGTCTCCCTCTGTCACCCAGGCTGGAGTGCAGTGGCACCATCTCAGCTCACTGCAACCTCAGCCTCCCGGGTTCAAGCAATTCTCTTGCCTCAGCCTCATGAGTAGCTGGGATTACAGGCACACACCACCACGCCTGGCTAATTTTTTTTTGTATTTTTAGTAGAGATAGGGTTTCGGCATTTTGGCCAGGCTGATCTCAAACTCCTGACCTCAGGTGATCCACCCTCCTCGGCATCCCAAAGTGCTGGGATTATAGGTGTGCGCCAGCACAACAGGCCAGAAGACTCAATATTATTAAGATAGCAGTTCTCAATATTATCAAGATAGCAGCAGATCAAGATAGCCAACTTGATCTACAGATTCTACATAATGACACAATCTTAATCAAAATCCCAGGAAGTTATTTGTAGATATGGATAAACTGGCTCTAAAGTTTATGTGGAGAGGCAAAAGATCCAAAATAGCCAAATCAATATTGATGGAGAATGGTCAGAGGACTGATACCACCTGACTTCAAGGCTTACTCTAAAGCTATAGTCATGAAAGCAGCATGATACTGGCAAAAGAATAGACAAATAGATCAATGGAACAGAATAGAGAGCCCAGAATATTAAAAGTAATATTTCTAATAGACCTGTATAAATGTGTCAACTGATCTTTGACAAAGCAGCAGAGGCCACACAATGGAGCAGAGATAGTGTTTTCAATAAATGACGCTGGGACAACCGGACATCCACAAGCAAAAAAAAAAAAAAAAAAAAAAAAAAAAAAAAAAAAATCTAGACACAGACCTTATACCTTTCATAAAAACTCAAAATGAATCATAAACCTCAATAAAATGCAAAACTGTAAGACTCCCAGAAGATAATATAGGAGAAAATCTAAATGACCTTGAGTATGGTGATGACATTTTAGATACAATAGCAAGGGCATGATCCATGAAGGAAATAATTGATGAGCTGAACTTCATTAACATTAAAAACTTCTTCTCTGTGAAAGGCAATGGCAAGAGAATGAAAATATTTGCAAAAGTCCCATCTGATTAAAGACTTTTATCTAAAATATACAAAGAGCCGGGTGCACTGGCTCAGACCTGAAATCCCAGCACTTTGGGAGGCTGAGGTAAGCGGATCAATTGAGGTCAGGCGTTGGAGACCAGCCTGGCCAACATGGTGAAACCCTGTCTCTACTAAAAATACAAAAATTAGCTGGGTGTGGTGGCGGGCGCCATTACTACTACCAGTAGTAGTAATCCCAGCTACTCGGGAGGCTGAGGCAGGATAATCACTTGAACCCAGGAGGCGGAGATTGCAGTGAACTGAGATCGCGCCACTGCACTCCAGCCTGGGCAACAGAGTGAGACTCTGTCTCAAAAAATATTAATTAATTAATTAAATATACAAATAACTCTTACAACTCAACAATAAGAAAATGAACAACCCAGTTTTTTAAATGGGTAAAAAAACTGAACATACATATCACCAAAGAAGACATTCACATGGCACATAAGCATCTACAAAGATGTTCAACATCGTATGTCATTAGGGAACCGCAAACAACGCGAAACCCATGCACACCCGTTAGAATGACCACAATCGCCAGGCATCGTGGCTCACAACTGTACTCAATACACACCTGTTAGAATGACCACAGTCACCAGGCACTGTGGCTCACACCTGTACTCCCAGCACTTTGGGAGGCTGAAGCAGGAGGATCACTGGAGCCCAGGAGTTTGAGACCAGCCTGGGCAACAAAGCAAGATCCCATCTCTACAAAAAATTAAAAAATTATATGGGCACGGTAGCATGTGACTGTGGTCCCAGCTACTCTGGAGGCTGAGATGGCAGGATTGCTTGAGCCCAGGAGGTTGAGGCTGCAGTGAGCCGCGATCCAGCCTTCACTCCAGCCTGAGCAATGGAGTGAGACCCCGTCTCAAAAGAAAAAGAAAAAAAGAATGATCAAAATCCACAGCACTGAAAACTTCAAATGCTGTTCAGGATGTGGAGCAACAGGAACCCTCCTTCATTGCTGGTGGGAAGGCAACATGGTACAACCACTTTGGAAGACAATTTGGCAGTTTCTTTTTTTTTTTTTTTTTTGGAGATGGAGTCTGGCTCTGTCGCCCAGGCTGGAGTGCAGTGGCACGATCTCGGCTCACTGCAAGCTCCGCCTCCCGGGTTCACGCGATTCTCCTGCCTCAGCCTCCTCAGCAGCTGGGACCACAGGCGCCCGCAATTTGGCACTTTCTTACCAAACTAAACCATACTCTTACTATGCAGTCCAGCAATCACACTCCTTGATATTTACCCAAAGGGACAGAAAACGTTTTTGTCCACACGAAAACCTGCACATGGAGGTTTATAGCAGCTTTATTCATAATTTATAGCAGCTTTATTCATAATTGCCAAAACTTGGAAGCAACCAAGATGTCCTTCAGCAGGTGAACGGGTAAATAACCTATGGTGCATTCAGACGATGGAATATTATTCAGTGCTAAAATGAAATGAATTACACAGCCATGAAAATACATACAGAAAACTTAAATGCATATACTATGTGAAAGAAGACAATCTGAAAAGGCTATTTACCTTACGGTTGCAATTATATGACATTCTGGAAAAGGTAAAACTATGGAGACAGTGAAAAGATCAGTGGTTGCCAGGGGTTGGGGATGAATAAGTGAAGCACAGAGGATTTTTAGGGCACTGAAACTACTTATTTTTCTGTATGATGCTACAATGGCAGAAACATTTATGTTATTTTTTGAGATTGAGTCTCACTCTGTCGCCCAGAATGGAGTGCAGTGGTGCGATCTCTGCTCACTGCAACCTCCACCTCCCGGGTTCAAGCGATTCTCCTGCCTCAGCCTTCCATGTAGCTAAGACTACAGGCATGCGCCACCACACCCGGCTAATTTTTGTATTTTTAGTAGAGATGGGTTTTCGCCGTGTTGGCCAGGCTGGTCTCGAACTCCTGATCTCAAAGAGATCCACCCGCCTCCACCTCCCAAAGTGCTGAGATTACAGGCATGAGCCACTGCGCCGGGCCAGCCGATACGTTGTTGAATAGAGAATGGAGAATATCCAACGCCAAAAATGTGCTGTCAACTCTGGACTTTGATGAGGATATGTTGACGTGGACGCATCGACTGTCACACGTGCCACCTGGTGCAGGGCGTTGGTGGTGGGGGAGGCTGGGCGTAGGTATATGTGTGTGTGGCAGGGGGCATATGGGAACTTTCTGTATTTTCCACTCAGGAAAATTTTGCTGTAAACCCAAAACTGCTCTAAAAAGCAAATTTTATTATTTAAAAGATGATTTTAAAATTAATATATTTAAATTTTTAAAAGAATTAAGCACACATGGCACTAACGGGGCGGCTAGGGAGCCAACCATCCATCAGTTGTGAGGAAGGGGGAGGCCTGCAGGCATGAAGGAGCTGGTGAGACCGCCCTCACCTGGCTGCCAGAATCCCAATTCCATGAGGACCTTGTCATGTGACTCAAAGTCAGAGACAGCAGAAGGTCCAAAAGTTACAACTTACCTGAAACCCACCAGGCACTATTGGCAAAGGATTCACCCCCACCATGGAAGGCACGTGAGCGCTGTGGGTGCCCTGTGTCATCAACTGCGGAGAAAGGAAACCAGAAAGAGCAAAAGCAAAGCAGCGAGTGGGGAGCAGAACCGCCCCAAACCCAAGGTCCCTCCTCCCCTGTCCACCTTCACACACTAAGCAATGGAGGGAGCGGGAGGACAGAGCCTGTGTTTGATGGACAGCTCCTCCCGAGGCAGAGGAGAGGCCCAATACCTGGGAGAAGGCTGGGAGCTTGCTACCCCTGAAGGAGACCCGCAGATTGGACGGAAGAGAGGAGCCAGGGACCCTCGTGGGAGAGGATGCATTAAAAGTAGGGCTGTCTGGGCCAGGTGTGGTGGCTCACACCTGTAATCCCAGCACTTTGGGAGGCCGAGGCAGGCAAGTCACCTGAGGTCAGGAGTTCAAGACCAGCCTGACCAACATGGTGAAACCCTGTTTCTACCAAAAATATAACAAATTAGCTGGGCGTGGTGGCGCACACCTGTAATCCCAGCTACTTGGGAGGCTGAGACAGGAGAATCCCTTGAAACCAGGAGGCGGAGCTTGCAGTGAGCCGAGATGGCACCACTGCACTCCAGCCTGGGTGACAGAGTGAGACTGGGTCTCAATAATAATAATAATAATAATAATGAAAGTAGGGCTGTCCAATTTAGCAAATGAAAATACAAGCAGCCCAGCTTAAATTTCAGATTAACCACAAATAATTGTTTTAGTTTAAAGATATCCCATGAACTATTTGGAACATTCTTGTATATTTTTAAGTGTTCACCGTTTATCCGAGGTTCTCATTTAAGTGGCTGTTCTGTGTTTTCTTGGTGAGCCCAGTCAAAGCCGCTGAGGCCCTGACAGCACGGGAGGAGGAGGCGTCCCAAGAAAGGAGAGGGCACCTGGGGACACCCTTCTCTAGCTGGACAGGGAGCTGCCCCTTCACGAGTGGGACAGTCAGAAGGACAAGGACACAACCATCCATTTTCGTCAGCTCATTCCCTGGCTACAAGTGGTCTGGATTCTGTCGCTTTGGCCCCTGGAATAAAATAACTGACTGACCCTTCCCCAGGGTGCCAGGTGTGAGTTTGCTTGGAAGAGAGAAGGGTGCAGACCCCCGACCCCTGCTGGTGGCAGCAGCTGGGACACCTTCAGTGGGCTCGAGAGTGGCAAAAGGAGCTATCTGGGGCAAAGCTTGGCCAAAGACACAGACTCCCTTGCCCATTCTTCCCTGCTTCAAAGGAGCCTTCCAGAAACTCCCCACAGGCCTGAAGTAAGTGGCTTAATGACTGGGATGATGAGTGATAGGTCACTGGCATGATGCACCCCTTTACGCATTTACTGGCACCAGAAAGTGATATGATGGCCACTATTAAAGTGTGGGGCGCACCCACGGAATTCGTTTCCATTCAAATGCTTTGCATACTTTGGTGGCCAATCCCCCTCTCAAGGGATGAAGGCAGGACTGGCTGTGGCAGAAGCTTCAGATGAGGTCTCTGGTCAGAGAAGTTCCACCTCACGTTGTCTTCATCATTGCTGTGGAGTTTCGCCGTCTCAGAGCTCACACCAAGTCACAGGTGACTTTAGACAGGCCATCTTGTTTAGGTCCATGCTTAAATTTGTCTTTATAAAACGTGGCATTTTTACCTCATATACACACACTTTAGAATCTTAAATAGCTGGAGAGTTTTCTCCAGGGACTTCTGGCTCCTGTTAGCTTGGTAACATTACTCCTGCTAACTTTGGTCATCTCCAGTAATACAGGCGTGCACACACACACACACACACACACACAGTCTCTCTTCCTCTTTATTGTCCCCCCCCAACCCACCCACATGCAATCATAATGATACATTTTAGTTCCCAAATGCTTCTAATTTGTGTTGTTCTTGTTGACGTTTTGAGACACGGTCTCGCTCTGTCACCAGGCTGGAGTGCAGTGACGCAATCTCAGCTCACTGCAACCTCCGCCTCCCAGGTTCAAGTGATTCTCCTGCCTCACCCTTTTGAGTAGTTGGGATTACAGGCACCTGCCACTATGCCCAGCTAATTTGTGTATTTTTAGTAGAGACAGGATTTCACCATGTTGCCTGGGTTGGTCTCAAACTCCTGGCCTCAAGTGATCCGCCTGCCTCGGCCTCTCAAAGTGCTGGGATTACAGGCATGAGCCACCGCACCCAGTCTCTAATTTGTGTATCCCATATTTTACAGATTTTTTAAGCTAGTCAAATTTTACAATTTTTTTACTTCCAAAAATAACAGTAATCAGCATCATATGTACATGTCCGTGTCCTCATATGTAGTAATTAAGATTACATGAGCCACTGTATTAAGTATCACCCACTTGAGGAAATACAAAGCAAGAGAAGAAAACCTATTTAAGAATTGGGTTTATATAACAGTGGTGTTGTCATTTTTGTAAACTGCTCTCCATTCATGCCAAATTATAGAGCAGCTTCGGAACAATTATATCATTAAATTTACGTTTTGTGTGATTTCAGTACTGAATGCCCTTTTCTTAACTTTCAGAGCCCACTGAAAGTTTCGGGGCTCACGTGGCCCACCATTGTCCCAGTCACTCAGCAAACACATCAGTGCCCTCATGTGGAGGGCTCCACGCCAGCTTCTGTGATGACAGAGGTGAATACTACCGGCTGCTTGTCCTCGAGCACGTACAATGTAACAAACTTGTAAATAAAATAAGCACATTATAATACAGCATGTTAAGTGTTACAACAGAAACACAAGAGACCAGAAAATCAGCACCTCTGTAGGGAATCTGATGAAGTCATGGAGAGGTGCCATCTGAACTGGGCTTTGAGGAATGAATAGGAGTTTTCCAGGTGAAGGGACCAGGGGGAGGAATCATGATGGGCAGACGCTCCAGATGAAAGCAGGTGTGCCTGGGGTTAGCGAGCTGCTTCCTGTGCAAGCAGCATAGGATATGGAAGATGGGGCCGTGACCTGGAGCTAAGATAGTTGGCTGAGGCCATATCATGAAGACCCTTGCATACGAAGGTGGGGATTCCATCCTGGAGGTAGGAACAGGAGTAGCTTTGATTTGGGAGAGGAAAGCTCTGCAGATGGTGTAAAAGGTAGGTTGGAGTTAAAAAAATTTTTTTTAAGTTCCATTTTAAGAAAAAAGAAGATAAAATAACATTTCATGAATTTTTTTCTGTCCTAATAAATATATGTTTCAACAATGCTTCTGTAGCTTGCGTAAAATAACGCTATAGTGTTTAAGCAAACTGTTACATGGGGAGATTTGAGGTTACTTGTGTTTTGTTTTGCCTTTTTCATCTATGAGTTATTGTAAACAGTTAGGCACAGATTCTAAATTACTTCCTTAAGATAAATCAGTAACGAAACTGCTGAGTTAAAGGTATGTACATTTTTCGGGCTTTAAATAAATCAGTTAAATTGTCCTCCGGAAAGGTTGTACCAATTTCTTCCCTACTAGGAGTGTTTAAGAATGCCCGTTTGCCCAGCACCCAGTATAGATCAGTACAGACATACAATAAGCAATATCTCACTGTATTAATGGACCTGTTTTTGCTACTGAAGTCACACGTTCTTTTTCATGGGGGGTGGTGGCGGGAGGAGAGGACATTTGTATTTCTTCTTTTGTGAATTACCTGTTGCCATTTACCCATTTTTCTACTGGTATGTTTGCCTTTTTATTTTCTTGCGCTGTAAGAGTTCTCTATATATTAAGGGCATCCTGTTGTTGCTATATGCG
Source organism: Homo sapiens (assembly GCF_000001405.40). Taxonomy (NCBI): domain Eukaryota; kingdom Metazoa; phylum Chordata; class Mammalia; order Primates; family Hominidae; genus Homo; species Homo sapiens. The sequence goes on along the minus strand of NT_187689.1, from coordinate 106,652 downwards.
GTGTAAATAAGTTCTTTCAACTTATTATTGCTGTACGTGTCTAACTTCAATCCCTGGGAGAAGAGACAGATTTGAATCCTCCACGGCACATAGCTCAGTCTCTCTTCTGCGGCAGCTGCCCAACATATATGCCAAGATGAGCGAATTATTTTTGTCCGAGCTACTTTATGAAACTCATTCTGCCCCACTCCAGAAATGGAAGGGATCTGTCAAACGTTCAGACTCCCCTTGCTCACAGCAGCATCAACATTGTCTCCTTGTTTCCTTCATTCATCTAACAAATGTTTACTGAGCCCCTGGTATGTGCCAGGTACTGTTCTTGGCACTAGGGAAACCATAATGGGCAAAATCTTTCATTCTAGTTGGAGGACTCAGATAATAAAGAAAACAAAATATGTATGACGTTCAATTGTGATCAGCACTATAAAGTACGTCAAAGTACAGAAGGGGAGACTGAATTTGTAGGCAGCATGGTCATGGTAGACCTCGCTGAGAAGGGGCATGAAGGTGGAGGTAGAGGGTTTAGACAAGTGGATATGTAGAGGAGAAGGCTTCTGAGCAGACTAAGCAATGCACAGAAAGGTCCCAAGGCAAGAGCAGGCCCAGCGCATTCAAGGGACAAGAAAGACGTCCGTGTGGCTGCGGTGCAGTCAGCAAATTAAGGAGGCAGGGGAGGGGCGCAGGTCGTGCACGGCTTTGCAGCTGTTGTCGGAGCTTTTCTTCTGAGTGAAATGGGAGGATTGGAGCAAAGAAGTGGTGTGGTCTGCCTTATGTTGTAAAAAGACAGCCCTGGCTGACACACTGGGACTAGACTGGGGTGGGGGCTGAGCTGGAAACAGGGAGACCTGTAGTAGTGCAGGTGAGAGATGATGGCATCGTGGACCATCTCGGTGGTAGCACTGGAGATGCTGAGGAGGGGCCACATTCTGGGCACAGTTTGATGGCCTTAGAGCCAGCAGAATTTCCTGGTGCAAAATGTGAGAGGGGAATAAAGACGGTGCCGAGGATTTCGGCCTGAGCACCTGAAGGATGCAACTGACGTTAACTGAGATGGGGAAGATGCAGGTGGGGCAGGTCCAGAGGAAAAGATCAGAACTTCGATTTTAGAAATGTGGAGGCCAGGAGCAGTGCTCATTAACTGGAATCCCAGCACTTTGGGAGGCCGAGGTGGGTGGATCACTTGAGGTCAGGAGTTTGAGACCAGGCTGGCTGACACGGTGAAACTCCGTCTCTACTAAAAATTCAAAAAATTAGCCGAGCATGGTGGTGGCACCTGTAGTCCCAGATACTCAGGAGGCTGAGGCAGGAGAATCACGTGAACCCAAGAGGTGGAGCTTGCAGTGAGCTGAGATCACGCCACTGCACTCCAGCCTGGGTGACAGAGCCAGGCTCCTTTCCATCTCAAAAAGAAAAAAAAAAAGAAAGAAATGTTGAATGTGAGGTATGTATTTCATCAACATCCAAGTGGAGAGATTAAGAATTGAAATGAATACACAGTATACATTAATAATAATAGCTGTATATAAGGCTGGGCACAGTGGCTCATGTCTGTAATCCCAGCACTTTGCGAGTCTGAGGCAGGAGGACTGCTTGAGCTCAGAAGATCGAGACCAACCTGCTCAACATGGTAAAGCCCCTTTTTTACAAAACAAAGTACAAAAATTAGCCAGCTGTGGTCCCAGCTCCTCAGGAGGCTGAGGTGGGAGGATCACTGGAGCTGGGAGGTGGAGGCTGCAGTGAGCCATGGTCGCACCACTGCACTGCAGTTTGGGTGAGAGTGAGACCCTGTCTCAATTTTAAAAAATAAATCGTTGTATCTAAGAGGTGGGATTATAGAAAAGTTTTTCTTTCTCCTCTTCCCACTTCTTACTTTGCTTGGTCTTTGGAATATTTCAAAATTTTGAAATCATAAACAAGTTTTACTTTTATTTTAAATTTATTTATTTATGAGACAGAGTCTTGCCCTTTTGCCCAGGCTGGGGTGCAGTGGTAGGATCTTGGGTCACTGCAACCTCTGCCTCCCGGGTTCAAGTGATTCTCCCGTCTCAGCCTCCTGGGTAGCTGGGATTACAGGCACCTGCCACCACACCCAGCTAATTTTCGTGTTTTTAGTAGAGACGGGGTTTCACCATGTTGGCCAGGCTAGTCTCAAACTCCTGACCTCGTGATCCACCGGCCTCGGCCTCCCAAAGTGCTGGGATTACAGGCGTGAGCCACTGAGCCTGGCCAAGTTTTACTTTTATAATAAAAAGTAAACCATATTAATTTTTTAAAAAAATAATAGCATGTAAGTTATAACATATAAGAGGAATAATTGAGGCTTGTGTCCAGAACTTGAAATTTAAATTTAGGTCAATTCCACATTCTCTGCGATCCCACTGCAGGCCAGACACTCTGCTAGTTCAGGGGATACTGAGATGAACAAAGGTGGTCCCTGCCCTGCTGCAGCGGGCTGTTCGACAGGCTCCAGGCCCGTCTCAGTAAATGCTATCATCAAAGTCCAAACCAAGACCTGGGGGAGTAGAAGGAGGAGGTAGCAGTGAGACTATACACAATCCCTGTACTATAAAAATGGCGAAAGCATGCAGATCAATAGACAGCCTCTGGGCCACACTGAGTGAATTTTAATGCAGGATGGAAGCACACAGATGGGTGATCAGGTCTCTCTTTACTGAAACACAGAACATGTGCCAAGGTGAGTCCAAGGACACCTCTGGGAACAGGTGAAGCCCCTCCCCACACATACACTCCGGTGGATGTGAGCGAGGGTCCTGTTGCCACATCTGGGGTCAGGGGCTTGGACATGCTGCCCTTCATGGGAACCTTCTGGGTACCTCTCAGCACAGTAACGCAGCTGCAGTCTGTCGGTGGGGGCCCAGGCTAGGGGCAGCACCCTCTTTTGGCATACGGGACATGCCTGGCTGCAGCTGATGTCCGTTAGCCTCTCCTGACACGCAGTAAGGAGACCTGGAAGTGAGGCGCGTGGGCGTGGAGTTCCCGGTGGAGCTGGAGAGCAAAAGAGCCAGCTGTCCTTTCAGCCCATCTGGCCCATGAGCTCGCCAGAGGCAGAGGACAGGAAGGGACACTGGGGCAGAGTGCATGCGGAGGACGGCAACCCTTCCTGGGCCTCCTACATGCTGGACACAGGCTGGTGCCTCACACACATTATGTCATCTAAACCTCACAGCAACCTTATAAAGCAGGTGTTAGGATCCTCATTTTATAAGGGATGAAAGTCGCATAGAATAACTTATCCAAGATCACACAGTTGGGAACTAGAATTCACACCCAGATCTAGCTGGTTCCTAAGCTCATTGTCTAATCCCCGAGCCCAAACTGTTGGGCTGTCCCCGGACGAGAACTGATGCCCAACCCCATGTGGCCTGGTGCCTGCGCCTCAGCTGCTTGACCTGCTCCTGATCTCGCGGTTTCTTTCCGATTCCTGAAATCATTTCTGGTTTGGGGGCTTAGACCTGAGATTCAAAACTGGCTTCCCGGCCGGGTGCGGTGGCTCACGCCAATAATCCCAGTGCTTTGGGAAGCAGAGGCAGGTGGGTCACCTGAGGTCAGGAGTTCGAGACCAGCCTGACCAACATGGAGAAACCCCATCTCTACTAAAAATACAAAAATTAGCCAGGAGTGGTAGTGTGCACCTGTAATCCCAGCTACTAGGGAGGTTGAGGCAGGAGAATTGCTTGAATCCGGGAGGTGGAGGTTGCAGTGAGCCGAGATCGTGCCATTGCACTCCAGCCTGGACGACAGAGCGAGAATCTGTCTCAAGAAAAATAAAAGAAAAGAAAAGAAAAAGAGAAAGAAAAAGAAAAAGAAAAAGAAAACTGGCTTCCCAGCCGGACGCAATGACTCAACGCCTGTAATCCCAGCACTTTGGGAGGCTGAGGTGGGTGGATCATGAGGTCAAGAGTTCAAGACTAGCCTGGCCAAGATGCTGAAACCTGAAACTCCATCTCTACTAAAAATACAAAAATTAGCCAGGTATGGTGGTGCGGGCCTGTAATCCCAGCTACTCAGAAGGTTGAGGCAGGAGAATGGCTTGAACCTGGGAGGCGGAGGTTGTGGTGAGCCAAGATCGCACCACTGCACTCCAGCTTGGATGACAGAGTGAGACTCAGTCTCAGAAAACAAAACAAAACAAAACAAAACAAAACAAAACAAAACAAAAGCAATTGGCTTCCCTCTCCCACAAGGATTCACACTCGCTACTTTGATTATCACATGCCGGGGGCATTTGTCACTTATTTGGCCATCGGGTGTCGAGCCCCCGTGCCATGTTTAGGGAACTCCTCACAGTGGGAGTCACGATTGGCCTCACTGCTGCTAAGAGAACTCCAAGGACACAGACATCCCTTCTTCCCGTCCCCTGGCACCTGGCTGTGGGCTCATGGGAGTACAAGGGCTAAGCTCAGCCTATCAAATGTTCCTACTCAGGACTTTGGCTCTGGAGCAAAAAGTCCAGTGAGACAAAAAGGCAGCGAGAACCTATGTGAATGTGTGTGCAGGCCACGTGATGCCCCTTGGCTGTGGCAGCATCCAATAGTGACTGACCAGCAAGAGGGACAGTGTCCCAGCCAGCCTGATCCCACTGTCTGGACCTCAGAGCTCCTGGGGGCCCTCCTGCCTATTTTCCAAGCCTGCTGTCCTGGCATTGCTTTGATTCTATGCACTCTGGGACGCTGCCAACAAATCCCCCTTTTACTTACGACAGACAGAGGTTTTCTTTCGCCTGCAACAAAGGATCCCACTCTCCACGGACATATCTTGCTTCCCTCTGCTAAGGGCAATCATTCCACCTGTCCAGCCTGGCTATGAACTCTACACCTGGCATAAGACCCCCAGCCAGCATCTCTGCCAGGTTTACCCTTGCAAGGGATGACAGGAAGCCTGAGCCACTTTTCAGCAGTGTGGCACCCATTGACTGTGAGAGGTGCTGAATGCAAGCTTCAGGTATTAGCAAGGGCACTGTCCCATTGACTGTGAGAGGTGCTGAATGCAAGCTTCAGGTATTAGCAAGGGCACTGTCAAAGAGGCAATCCACATTAGACTGTGCACTGGGCCTGTTTTCACGGTTACATCTGTGAGCAGAGCTTAGACACTTCCCATCATGCCCCATCTGCTACTTTGTACCACACATTAGGAGAACAACCCACCCCTCAGTGAGGCCAGGCCCGTGACATCTGCACTGAGCTGACCCAGTCTAACCTCCAACAAGCCACACCATCCCCATCCTCAAAACCCTGACCCCGGAACTTTACCATTGGAAGTTCTATCCAGTGGGTTTTAGGAGAATTTTCCCAACTTGTACAAATACATCCCAATCATGGTCCTCATCTAGAGTATACATCTCTGCGGTTTTTTCTGCCTAGCCTCCCTATTTTCTTGGGGCTCATCCTTCCTCTATGGGATCCTGACTGGGTTGTCAGTCATGGTGACCCTTGCAGGCCATGGAGACCTGCACTTCCCCAGATGACATGAAAATTTGGGGAGAGGGGGCCGGGTGCGGTGGCTCATGTCTGTAATCCCAGCACTTTGGGAGGCCAAGACGGGTGGATCACGAGGTCAGGAGATTGAGACTATTCTGGCTAACACGGTGAAACCCCGTCTCTACTAAAAAAAAAAACATAAAAATTAGTTGGGCGTGGTGGCGGGCGCCTGTAGTCCCAGCTACTTGGGAGGCTGAGGCAGGAGAATGGCGTGAACCCAGGAGGCGGAGCTTGCAGTGAGCTGAGATCGCACCACTGCACTCCAGCCTGGGCGACAGAGCGAGACTTCGTCTCAAAAAACAAAAAGAAAGAAAGAAAAAGAAAAAAGAAAAGAAAATGTGGGGAGATGGAAGTCCCTTGTGAATCTATGGCTAACAAGGCTGCCTTTTCATACACATGAAGAAAGACTCTGAAGAATGAAGGGAGTAAAGCTAAGACAGGGAAAGAAAGAGAAAGTCCCTGTGATGGCGCTGGAGCTGCTGGATCCAGCCGTACTGAAGCTGAAGAGACACTTGTAGGTTTCTCAGACCTTGCCTTTTTTTTTTTTTTTTTTTTTTTGCATAAACTGCCCTGACTTGGGTTTCTGCCACTTGCAACCAAGAGTCCGACCTACCCTCCCATCAGTATCACTGACCTTTGCCTCAGAGGCCAGAAGGCCAAGCTTCCAAGGACCAGAAGAAACTGGGGGCTCTAGGAGTCACATGTTTACATTGCAGAGAAGGAAATGAAGAACTCGGAGAAGGCAGGCAGAAGCAAAGCCAGGCAGAGATCCTCAGATTCAGCTCCCAATTCTCCGTAAGAAACGAGACTCCCTTCCAAGCGCGGTAGCTGCTCTTCTGTGTCCTGCGGGTCTTCCCTGCAGCCCCTGCGAACCTCGCCCCTTCCTCTACTCCCCTGGCCCGGAAAGTGCCCACTCACCTGCTGCATCAGCCTTTCTGCCACTCTGGGGTCAGTGAGGTCTTCCGGGGAAGCCACACTCAGCCGCAGGAGGAGGAAACCTCCATTTTCACCTGCAAATGGAGAACAGTAAGATGAAAATCAGGGCTGGGCGCAGTGGCTCACACCTGTCATCCCAGCACTTTGGGAGGCAGAGGCAGGTGGATCACCTGAGATCGGGAGTTTGAGACCAGCCTGACCAACATGGAGAAATCCCGTCTTTACTAAAAACACAAAATGAGCCGGGCATGGTGGTGCGTGCCTGTAATCCCAGCTACTCAGGAGGCTGAGGCAGGAGAATCGCCTGAACCTGGGAGGCGGAGGTTGTGGTGATCTGAGATCGCAGCACTACACTCCAACCTGGGCAACAAGAGCGAAACTGTCTCAAAAAAAAAAAAAAAAAAAAAGAGGAGGATGAAATAGTCACATATATTTGCTTCCGTATGTACATTTCATGTGCAGAAAATTACACACAAGAGACAATCTCACGGGTTACATGTGTGGAGAGAACTGGGTGGGGGCACAGCCAGGGGAGAAAGGCATTTTATGGTGAACCTTTTCGTACCTTTCCATTTCAAATCATATGAATGTCTTATCTAATCAACAAATAATAAAGTATTTTTCTTTCCAGGGAAAAGAAGGAGCGATCAGACTGTCACTGTGTCTCTGTAGAAAGGAAAGACATGAGACTCCATTTTGAAAAAGACCTGTACTTTAAACAAGCTTTGCTGAGATGTTGTTAATTTGTAACTTTGCCCCAACCTTGAGCTCATAAAAACATGTGTTGTATAAAATCAAGGTTTAAGGGATCTAGGGCTGTGCAGGACGTGCCTTGTTAACAAAATGTTTACAAGCAGTATACTTGGTAGAAGTCATCGCCATTCTCTAGTCTCAATAAACCAGGGGCACAATGCACTGTGGAAAGCCGCAGGGACCTCTGCCCTTGAAAGCAGGTTATTGTCCAAGCTTTCTCCCCATGTATAGTCTGAAATATGGCCTTGTGGGATGACAAAGACCTGACCGTCCCCCAGGCTGACACCCGTAAAGGGTCTGTGCTGAGGTGGATTAGTAAAAGAGGATCTCCTCTTGCAGTTGAGATAGAGGAAGGCCACTGTCTCCTGCCTGCCCCTGGGAACTGAATGTCTCAGTATAAAACCCGATTGTACATTTGTTCAATTCTGAGACAGGAGAAAAACCACCCTGTGGCGGGAGGTGAGACATGTTTGCAGCAATGCTGCTTTATTATTCTTTACTCTGCTGAGATGTTTGGGTGGAGAGAAACATAAATCTGGCCTACGTGCACATCCAGGCATAGTATCTTCCCTTGAACTTAATTATGACACAGATTCTTTTGCTCACATGTTTCTTGCTGACCTTCTCCTTATTATCACCCTGCTCTCCTACTACATTCCTTTTTGCTAAAATAATGAAAATAATAATCAATAAAAACTGAGAAAACTCAGAGACTGGTGCCGGTGCAGGTCCTTGGTATGCTGAGCGACGGTCCCCTGGGCCCACTGTTGTTTCTCTATACTTTGTCTCTGTGCCTTATTTCTTTTCTCAGTCTCTCATCCCACCCGACTAGAAATACCCACAGGTGTGGAGGGGCAGGCCACCCCTTCACTTTCCAGAGCAGTTTAGCTACCATCTTTAACCCTGTCAGATGGGGTCGTGTTACCCACCTCCTAAGGCTGTTTTGAAGGTTAAATAGAGGAGATAACATATGCAAAGCTGGTGGCACACTGCCTGGCATCATAACATATGCAAAGCTGGTGGCACACTGCCTGGCATCAGATAACATATGCAAAGCCGGTGGTACACTGCCTGGCATCAGATAACATATGCAAAGCTGGTGGTACACTGCCTGGCATCAGATAACATATGCAAAGCCGGTGGCACACTGCCTGGCATCAGATAACATATACAAAGCCGGTGGCACACTGCCTGGCATCAGATAACATATGCAAAGCTGGTGGCACACTGCCTGGCACCGGAGAGAACGTTCTGCTGGGGCCAGTGCTTACTGGGTGTGAAACATGTTTATATCACCCCTGCCTATAACATGAAAGATATTCAATAATATCTTTATGTATTGAGTGGTTGTGATTAATATTTGTATTCCCACCTCCCCCAGAAAGGTGGTAACAAGCTGCGGATACACAGAGATGAGGCCCAAGGGCAGAGTGACAGGAAGTGGAGGTGGAGGCTACAGGCTGACCAGAAGCTGGACTGACCAAGCAGCCTCTGACAATGAACTTCTCCCCTGAGAAGTCCCTGTTGCCTCAGAGATGTAGCTTTAAACTCCCAAGCCTTCGCTGTATTTGCTTATTTTATCTTACCTTTTTTTTTTGAGACGGAGTTTCACTCCGTCTCAGCTCACTGTAACCTCCACCTCCCGGGTTCAAGTGATTCTCCTGCCTCAGTCTCCCAAGTAGCTGGGATTACAGGCGCCCACCACTGCGCCCAGCTAATTTTCATATTTTTAGTAGAGATGGGGTTTCACCATGTTGGTCAGCCTGGTCTCGAACTCCTGACCTCAGGTGATCCGCCGGCCTCTGCCTCCCAAAGTGCTGGGATTACAGGCATAAGCCACCGCTCCAGGCCTGTATTAATTTATTTTAAGTCACTATCTATGGCATAAATCCCAGGAAATGCATCCAGCAGGCCCCACTTTCATGGGGTCCCAGCCTGTCAGAGAGCAGCAGCTTGGGCCTGATGCCTGCCTGCTGCTCCTCTGTGTGGCTATGGCTGGAATAGAAGCTTCCAGAGCTGCTCAACAGTGCACTTCACAGAAGGTCAGAGCTGGACAGGACTTCAGTGCCCATTCCAACCCTCTCCAAATACAGGTGGAGAAACTGAGGCCCAGAGAGGGACAGGGACTTGCCCAAGGTCACTCGGGTTGTTACAGGCAGAGCCGAGACCGCAAACCATTTCTCCGGACTTCCATCCCCACCCCTTTCCATACACAACCCTCCATCTGCCTTTTCCTGATTTCGCCAAGAACCACTAGAAGATCACGAAGAGGCAACATCAGGAGCAGGCTCTGAGTAGGCTCCAGATCCTTCCCTCCTCTCCACTCCTCAAGTGCGGAGACGTCCTGGAAACTCCGCATCCCAAATCCCCGAAGATCACCAGCAGGAGCCACTTACCTGCACTCACGTCTGTGGTCGGCCTCGTCCGGGCAGTCGTGGGCGTGGCTGTTGGGGGCTTCATCGTGGTCTTCGCTGAGGTTGTGATCTTGGCTAAGGTGCTGTTCGTCCCTCGGCTGCTGTTGGTTGTAGTCGGAGGGACAGAAGGAAGAGGGTCCCTGCTGGTGGGGAAGGGCCCCTTGGTTGCGATGTCCATGGTCGGTGTCTCTGAAGGGGTGAAGTTCTTGAGGGCGGCTTCCGAGGGGCTGTAGGAGGAAGCAGAGCTCCCAGCAAAGGAAGTTGTTTTGCCCACTGCTGACCCAGCCTCTATGGAGACCGGAGCTGCTCCTGAGACTTTGACGTAACTTGGTGTCTCAACAGAGAGGGCTGAGGTTTCTTCAAGGGGATTCCTGCTAACTGTGACCAGAGCTCCACTGAGGGTCGTGGCCCCGGGTGCTGTCACTTCTCTTTCTGTGGCGCTGTTAGTGGGGAGTGGGGTCCCAACCGTGGCATCAGGTGCAGCTGACTCTGTGGTGCCGGCTGTGGACAGGGTCTCGGCAGAGGCTGTGACCTCAGTGATGTGTGGTTTTGCTTCAGTGGAGTCAGGCAGAGCTGGTGGATCGGAGGTGGACGAGGCCTTCACCCCTTCCGTGGGGATGAGATCTGTGTCTGAGGCCCCAGGGATGCTGGAAGTCGTTGTTTCTATTTCTGTGATGCTGCAATTAATAACCTCGATGTTTGTGACAGTCACCAGGGCTTCAGCGAGGAGAGTGACGTCAGATCCCGGGGACCATGAGGGGGTGATGACTGGATGGGGGCCGTCGGAAGAGGCGCTGCTCTCTGAGGCCCGTGACGGGGTGATGACTGGATGGGGGCCGTCGGAAGAGGCGCTGCTCTCTGAGGCCCGTGACGGGGTGATGACTGGATGGAGGCCGTCGGAAGAGGCGCTGCTCTCTGAGGCCCGTGACGGGGTGATGACTGGATGGGGGCCGTCGGAAGAGGCGCTGCTCTCTGAGGCCCGTGACGGGGTGATGACTGGATGGGGGCCGTCGGAAGAGGCGCTGCTCTCTGAGGCCCGTGACGGGGTGATGACTGGATGGGGGCCGTCGGAAGAGGCGCTGCTCTCTGAGGCCCGTGACGGGGTGATGACTGGATGGGGGCCGTCGGAAGAGGCGCTGCTCTCTGAGGCCCGTGACGGGGTGATGACTGGATGGGGGCCGTCGGAAGAGGCGCTGCTCTCTGAGGCCCGTGACGGGGTGATGACTGGATGGGGGCCGTCGGAAGAGGCGCTGCTCTCTGAGGCCCGTGACGGGGTGATGACTGGATGGGGGCCGTCGGAAGAGGCGCTGCTCTCTGAGGCCCGTGACGGGGTGATGACTGGATGGGGGCCGTCGGAAGAGGCGCTGCTCTCTGAGGCCCGTGACGGGGTGATGACTGGATGGGGGCTGTCGGAAGAGGCGCTGCTCTCTGAGGACAGGCCCTTAGCTTCTGTGGAGGTGTGAGCCAATGTCAATATGTCCATTGTGAGTGTCTTTGCCTCTTCAGAGCTGTCATCGGTGCAAAGGGTGTCAAAGATGGCTTCCCTGGGATCACTGCCTGTGATGGTCTGAACTGTGGTCATTCCAGCTCCCTCGGGGCTGCCACTGGCGGCTGATGTCTCCACGGAGGTGGCGATCAGCACCATGAAGTTGGGAGATGTTTTTGTGAAACTCCTGGTCTCTCTTGCAGGGGAAATTCTCTTGGCTCCCCTGGTCTCTGCTTCTGGAATGGGGCCGGCTGGGGTTGAGGCCCTAGAAGAGGTCTCAGCGCTCAGCGTTTGAGTTTCCAGAGCGGCGTGGCCCGGTGCTAGAGTCATAGCGGGCACTTCTGTGTCGTCCGTTGTCATCGCAGTGTCTGCTCTGCGGGTGCTGGGGCCTGTGTTGGTTAAGACTGACTTGGTGAGCCTGGGTTCCAGTGGACTTCACACAAGCTATTGCGTTTACACCCTGGGCACTTCTGGGAGGAGGGTGGGGCAGGGGAGTGCCGTTACCTCATTTTTCATCTACATAAGCGAACAAGAAGGAGGCAGTCCTGGGAAGCCCAGGCCTGTGTGGCAGCCATGGAGCTGGGGTTGCCATGACTGGTGTCCTCTGAAACCCTGACAACTCACTTGGGGCCAGCAAGCCCCAGGATCTGCTGGCTATCGGCCTGCGTCTTTAAGAGGGGATGTGTGGGGCCAGCGTCCACCTTCCAGGGTGAGCCAAGAAGGCAGACCAGCGTCCAGGACTCGCAGAGCTTTCTGAACCTCTGTCCCCTTCCCCGGATACTTTTCTCATCCAACACATAGTTCCCCATGGAAGTAAAAACCCTTAAAAGACGAGAAAGGCCTATGATTGTGCCTTTCGGGGTAGCTGGGTGGATTGAGGCGGGGGAACCTCCAGAGACAGGGTGGGCAGTGCTGCTGCCAAAGCGAGGGAGCCGGCAGAGTCCTTGGGGCTCCAGCAAGGGAAAGACGGCACCCCCCACCCTGCCGAGGCCCCTCCTGAATGAGGGCTGAGAACTGCAGGGTTGGAGCCTGGGAACCATGGAAACCGTGGCCAGGCATTTTCCACAGGACACCGGGAGACCCTGAGGCAACACCTAGCTTTTCAGAGAGCGGCTGCCAGCACTTCTGCCCAGAGCAGAGGCCTGTTCCCTTGACTGGCCCTGAGGTGGGAGGAATGGGAGTCCCCGAGGGAGGCTACGGTAGGATATCTTCCCTAGAGACAGGGTCTTGCTCTGTTGCCCAGGCAGGTCTTGAATTCCTGGGCTCAAGCGATCCTCCTGCCTCAGCCTCTTGAGTAGTTTACTACAAGATCTTTTCTGGCCTGAGAAAGGGGGCCTCCCCTGTCTAGAGGGAGATCGGGCTCTCCCTGTGAGTGGGCCAAGGAGCCTCTTGGAGAGGGTTTCTAGATTTAGCAAATAAAAATACAGGGTACTCGGTTAAATTTGAACTTGCATTTCAGATAAACGACGAATAACTTTTTAGCATGAGTATTTCTCATGCAATATTGGCTACATACTTACACTTAAAAAAAATTGTTACCTGAAATTCAAATGTAACTGGATGCCCTGTGTTTTATCTGGTAATCCCAGTCTTGGAAGGAAAAGGATCAAATACGAACCCCCTAATTCTCTGAGCCTTCTTGGTCCAGCCTACACAGCTGGAAGCCCAAAGGTGGCGCTCTTGGAGTCTGACCTCCCCTGGCACAGGGTTTGAGATGGTCTTTACCCAGCTCCACTGGCCCAAAAGTAGCCCATAGACCCAAAAGGGGCCTAGCACCTCTCCCCAGGGCATCAGGATGGGGCCCCAGGTCCCCAACTGGTTGTCCTGTGGACCTCAGGGAATGACGACGCAGGAGTCAAGAGCCTCGGTTGCAGCTCCCGCTGTGCCGCCCACGACTGGCTCCGGGGTCAGATGATCTGCTGGTTCAAATCCTGACTCAGCCTCCTACTAGCCAGGCCAGTCTCTAGACCCCTCCCAGCCTCCATGTCCTCACCTGAGAAAACAGGGTCACAATACCTGCCTTGCCAACGTGATGAGGACCAGCGGAGAAGGTGAAAGGGCTTATATTCCAAAGCCCACAAGGTAAGCATCCCTCCCTATGGAGTCCTCTCCCAGGCCACTGGAAAGCACGCATAGTTGATCTGACTATAGTGAGGAGTGCGGGCTGCACCCCCAGGCAGTATAGGCGAGTCCCGGGCACCCACTCTCATCCCTGGTCCAGTGCGGCCCAGCTGCACACACAAATCTCACTTTTGCAGGAACTGTTCGTCTGCCTTCATAATACAGTTTCTTCTCCCCACTTCAAGCCTGAGATCATTTCTTTGAGCCTTCTTGGTCCAGCCCACACAGCTGGAAGCCCAGAGTGGTGCCCTTGGAGCCCGACTTCCCCTGGCACATTTTCTGGCTTATCCAGGAGCCCCGGGGTGTCCTTTCTGCTGTGAAACCTCCTCATGCTCCCCAAGCCCACAGCCTCTCGGGTCCAAGGGGGTCTTCTCGAATACAGCAAATCCCAGCCCAGCCCCTCAGTAGCTCTGGAACACTGCGGCTCTCCTGGTACAATCTTCAAATCTGGTGGAGAGGAAAGCGTGTGGACTTGGGACCCTGAGTTGGAGAATCTGCTCTCTGCCCTGTGACCCTGGCCAAGTCTCTCAGCTCCAAGCCTGCATTTCCGCACCTGTAAGGTGGAGCTAACGGGACACGTGCAGCGCAGACCAGGCCACGGTGAGCACAGGCAGGAGGCCACGGGGTGCAGTGCTCAGGCCTGTGAGGAGTCAGATTCTGGCTCCGAGGAGTTGTTACTGGATGCCCAGAAGCACAGTGGCCTCACCCTTAAAGCAGTGGAGGTGGGGGGTGGTAAAAACAGGGCCGATCTTGCAGGGCCGTTGTGAGGATTAAAAATACAATGTATGATAATGATGCATCAAAGTAGGTTCCTCAGTCCTATCAAATGTGCCACTCTGGTGGGGGACGCTGATGATGGGGGAGGCTGTGAGTGGTGGGGATGGGAACTCCAGACTCTCCACTGCAGCTTTTTTTTTTTTGAAACATAGTTTCACTTTTGTTGCCCAGGCCAGAGCGCAAGGGTGCGATCTCAGCTCACTGCAAACTCCACCTCCCAGGTTCAAGCAATTCTCCTGCCTCAGCCTCCCGAGTAGCTGGGATTACAGGCACCTGCTACCACCCCCGGCTAATTTTGTATTTTTAGTAGAGACGGGGTTTCTCCATGTTGGTCAGGCTGGTCTCGAACTCCTGACCTCAGGTGATCCACCCACCTCAGCCTCCCAAAATGCTGGGATTACAGGTGTGAGCCACCACGCCCGGCCTCTCCACTCGAGGTTTAGAGGGAGCATAGAACTAAAAAAAAAATAAATCCTTTTCTATTTTTTAATGTATGTGATGAGTTTGGCACAACTCCTATTAGCGACAGGTCAGGGTTCATTCCCGTCTTTCACAAAAGCCCTGCCTGTCAGCATCCACCCTTCCCAAGCAGTTTGTGGCAGTTGGACTTTTCACACGAAATCTGTATTTTGAAGGAAATCCATGCTAGGTAATAAACTGGGAGGAGTCAGAATCTTGTTAAGCCACATTCTTCAGCTTTCTGCACAATGATCACCAGCTGGCACCTCCCTGCACCCCCGCTCCGTGCCCCACTTACTGTCCCACGTTCATAAAGACAAACTCTCAGCCATCCCTTACGATGGCAGCGTCATGGTTGATTAGCGTGTACTGCAGCGCCAGGCACGCTTACACTCACACACATCGTCATGGTTGATTAGTGTGTACTGCAGCGCCATGCACGCTTACACTCACACTGTCATTTGCACACTCTTTATCAACAATAATAGCACTTCACAAGTAGCACTGTGGTTCATTATAATCAACCCGAGAGAGCCTGCCCTTGCCCATGAAGGGTGGCTCATACTGAAATTCACTCCCAGAGCCCTACTAGGGGAGAGGCCCACCAGGCCCTTCTAGGCCTCCTTACCTGCAGAGCTCCCAGAGACCCCAACCTCCCAGCAGAAGAAGAAAAGGGGCAGAGCCAGACCCCAGAGACAGCCCATCCTAGCCGGCCACCGCTGCTCCACAGAACTGCTGGCTGTCTCTCGCGGGTACCTTTTCCTGCTTCCTCAAACCAGGGAGGAGGGGCAGCCTCCTGCCCAGGTGTGTGACCAGGTGATCACAAATGTGCAGGCTGAGGGCTGGCAGGTTGAGGCTGTCAGCAAGCTGACCCCCCTGCCTTCCTTGCCCGGTAAACACTCCACTGAAATTTGATTTGAAGATATGGAATCACTAGCTTCTTTTTTTTTTTTTGAGATGGAGTCTTGCTCTGTCACCCAGGCTGGAGTGTACAGTAATGAGATCTCAGCTCAATGAAACCTCTTCCTCCCGGGATCCAACAATTCTCCTGCCTCAGCCTCTGGAGTAGCTGGGATTATAGGCGCGCACCACCACGTCGGGCTAATTTTTGTATTTTTAGTAGAGATGGGGTTTCACCATGTTGGCCAGGCTAGTCTCAAACTCCTGACCTCAGGTGATCTACCTACCTCAGCCTCCCAAAGTGCTGGGAGTACAGGCATGAGCCACTGCACCCAGCCAAGTGCTTTTATTTTCTTAAGCCAATTAATTAGAGCTCTTTTATATATTTTCAGTAGCAAAACACTGTGTACACAACAACACATAAATACACAGATGTATTAGGTATGCTGAAAGAAGTTCATCTTATAGATTCATAAAGAGCTTTTTTCTTACACCTTCAAATTCTTTTTTACTTTTTTTTTTTTTTTTTTTGAGACAGAGTCTCACTCTGTTGCCCAGGCTGGAGTGCAATGGCTTGATCTCGACTCACTGCAAACTCTGCCTCCTGGCTTCAAGTGATTCTCCTGCCTCAGCTTCCTGAGTAGCTGGGATTATAGGCACCTGCCACCACATCTGGCTAATTTTTTTTGTATTTTTAGTAGAGACGGGGTTTCAACATGTTGGCCAAGATGGTTTTGAACTCCTGACCTCAAGAGATCTTTGCGGCTCAGCCTCCCAAATGCTAGGATTACAGACGTGAGCCACCGTGCCCAGCCACACCTTCGAATTCTTGATAACCTGTTTTACTACTCTAAGCGGTTGTCAGCTAAATAGCCTTGAATTTGCATTTTAAGGAAACTGAGGTGAAAATCGAATAGCAAAATTTACATCATAACGTATGGAGAGAAAAAGTCTGGTGTGCTGGAGGGAAATTAAAACAGATTTAATTGCCAATTAAACATAAAATTATAGAAATTATAAAGGCCTTTTAAATATATACACACACACAAAGATCCTATAGCTTTTACTTCAGAAATTTAGCCATGAAAGCTGGGCGCGGTGACTCACGCCTGTAATCCCAGCACCTTGGGAGGCCGAGGCGGGCAGATCACCTGAGGTCAGGAGTTGGAGACCAGCCTGACGAACATGGAGAAACCCCATCTCTACTAAAAATACAAAAAATTAGCCAGGCATGGTGGTGCATGCCTGTAATCCCAGCTACTCGGGAGGCTGAGGCAAGAGAATCACTTGAACCAGGGAAGAGGAGACTGTGGTGACCCAAGATCACGCCATTGCACTCCAGCCTGGGCAACAAGAGTGAAACTCTGCCTCAAAAAAAAAAAAAGAAAAAAAAAAAAGAGAAAGAAAAGAAAAAAAGAAATTTAGCCATGAAATAAATACAAATTCACCAGTTTACAAACAGAAAAACTATCTGATCCAAACAGTGTTTTTTATCTTAATAGAAAAATAACAGCAAATTTAAAGCAGGCAGAGAAGAAACTAGAGAAAAAAGAGGACTCAGGAACTCTACAGTTTGCAGGTCAACCTCAGGGCTCCTTTTTTTTTAATGTAAATGTGCAGAAAGACCATATTACTTCCACTTTACATAAACTCTGGCAAGTAGAGGCGCCATGAACCCTATGGAGTACTCGGCTGGGAGGAGCAAACGCCCTTTCTCTTTGGAGCTGAGAAAACTCAATCTCTCATTTACCTATGACAACAACAGTTCAGTTCCTCATGCAAATACATAGACAACCCAAACTGAGATTCATTTTGGGAGAAAAAGCAATAGAGAAGACCCTTTAGGATGCATCTCTGAACTAGAATTAGGATCCTTAAATCACAGCTTCCTAGAAGAGAAAAAAAAAAAAACAAAAAAACAGCCAAGACCATTCCCTGTAAACTGTGCTCAGCCACCCCTTCTTTGTAGTTCTCGTCTGCCATTACACACGCCAAGGTCAAATCCTCTCACAGTGCAGGGTCATCTCTGGTTCCCCCAAAGCCAAAGAGGTCAGGTCATGCCGTACAGGAAGACAGCAGAGCTTTAGACCTAAGAAGAATCCGCCCATCACTCTTGAAACTCCACAAAGAAAACAGAGCACCCTGGAAGGGGTGAGTGGCCCCTTTGTTCCGGATCCTTTAAAGGGGCTCGAGTCATTGGAAGCCTTCTCTAGATTTTTTTGGTCCCGCAGATGGCAAAGGCAGGAGGAGGTATAGGGAGGAAGAAAAGTAAGTGAAAGAGCATTTGTTGTTTTTGTTTGTTTGTTTTTTAAGACAGAAAGCAAACACAGAAACCAAGCACGTGATTTGTTGTTTTCGTTTAGTTTTTTCCTCTTTTGCAGCTGCAAGGAATTTTAGCCAAATTAGAGAGGCTTTGTTACCCATAATTTGGAATTCTCACTTGGATTTGACCAAGTCAGGTAGAGTTGGTCAAATCTGATGAGAGAAAGACCAGAAAAAACAACAACAACAAAAGTCAAATGATATGACCACAGACTGCTCTAATGGGAAGAAGAAATTCAGACCAGCTGGTTGTTAACCTTCAGCCAAGACAAAACCTCAGTTCAGCTACTTACCTAGGGATGGGTCTCAGGCTGAAGACTGCTCTCTACCATCCTTGAAGCAGGAAAAAAACTCGAACTTGTCTTCCCTGCTGGGAGCAAGCTCAAACTCCATAAAAGAGTTGTCAGCCTTCCATCATCACGGACCCAGGAAATCTTGCCTTCCTTCTTGGAAGCAAATAAAACTCCAAAAGAAGGAGAGGGGGAGTTGTACATCAAATAAACTTTAGATCACGACCAAGTTTTGAGAGATCAGGGACTCTATGGAGGGGGTGCTCCCAGACCTCAGCAAATTGTCCTGTTGGTTTGAGCCATAAGGTTAGCTCATGGTGCTACCAAGCACCAATAGATCTGTCAAAGGTCAGGGGTACCTCAACTCAGAATCCCTCCATGGTTACCAAAATGTGAACCCCCCAAATCTGAGACAGGTCTCAGTTAATTTAGAAAGTTTATTGTTCCAAGGTTGAAGATGCACACCCGTGACACAGCCTCAGGATGTCCTGACGACATGTGCCAAGGTGGTCATACGTTTTAGGGAGACATGAGACATCAATCAACACATGTAAGATGAACATTGGTTCAGTCTGGAAAAGGCCGGGCAACGCCAAGCAAATGTGGGACAACTCGCAGCCAGGAGAAAGCTTCCAGGTCACAGGTGGGTGAGAGACAAAGGTCGCATTCTTTTGAGTTTCTGATGGGCCTTTCCAAAGAAGGCAATCAGATATGCATCTATCTCAGTGAGCAGGGGGTGATTTTGAATAGAATGGGGGGCAGGTCGGCCCTAAGCCATTCCCGGCTTGACTTTCCCCTTTAGCTTAGTGATTTTGGGGGCCCAAGATTTATTTTCCTTTCACAAAACAATAAACATAACAAATAAGTGAATTATAGAAAGGTGAAAACTATGGAAAAAAAAGAAAAACAGAGAGAAAGAATCCTGAACACTGACGTGGGGAGGGCAGGTGCCAGCTGCAGTACTAAATACTGGTGTGGGGAGGGCAGGTGCCAGCTGCAGTACTAAATACTGGTGTGGGGAGGGCAGGTGCCAGCTGCAGTACTAAATACTGCTGTGTGGAGGGCAGGTGCCAGCTGCAGTACTAAATAGCAGAGGGGAGGGCAGGTGCCAGCTGCAGTACCAAATACTGGTGTGGGGAGGGCAGGTGCCAGCTGCAGTGCGTGGGGAGGGCAGGTGCCAGCTGCAGTACTAAATAGCGGGGGAAGATTTTTTTCTGAGCAACTTTGAGTCACTGCTCACATCTCATGCCAATGTATTAATCCCAAGTCAAGGGTCAGATGAGGCACTCGGATCTCTCCAGTTGCCAACACAGCTCTTCCAAGTGTACTTTACTTCCTTTCATTCCTGCTCTAAAACTTTATTTATGTATTTATTTTTGAGACAGAATCTTGCTCTGTCGCCTAGGCTGGAGTGCAGTGGCACAATCCCAGTTCACTGCAACCTCTGCCTCTGGGATCAGGCAATTCTCCTGCCTCAGCTTCCTAAGCAGCTGGGATAACAGGCGTGCACCACCGTGCTTGGCTAATTTTTTTTTTCTTTTTTCGTATTTTGAGTAGAGATGGGGTTTCACCATATTAGCCACGATGGTCTCGTACTTCTGACCTCAGGTGATCCACCTGCTTTAGCCTCCCAAAGTGCTGGGATTACAGGTGTGAGCCACCACGCCCAGCCCTGGCCAACTTTTGTTTTTTTTGAGACAGAGTTTCATTCTTATTGCCCAGGCTGGAGTGCGATGGCCCAATCTTGGCTCACTGCAACCTCTGCCTCCCAGGTTTGTAGGATATAATAAATTCTTCTTCAAAGGTTTTAGCCTGTAAATTGTTAAGTACAATGAGTTCTGAGATCCTCTCCAAAGAATCAATGTATCAGTATGTTCAGCTCTTCATTTTAAAGTTTAACTTCCTCGTTTTCTTCATCTCCTTGCCCCTAGTTTCAGTAAACAACCCCCTCCTAGCCTCTATCACCTGCTCCATCCTGAGTCACCCCCAGTCACCTGCTCTAATCTGAGTCATCCTGAGTCAACAGGGTTTCACCATGTTGGCCAAGTTGGTCTCGAACTCCTGACCTCATGTGATCCGCCCACCTCAGCCTCCCAAAGTGCTGGGATTACAGGTGTAAGCCATCGTGCCTGGCCAGTTTTCACTTTAAAATGATCTCTAATACCAACTCTTGGGGTCCGAATGGGTCCCCACTGGTTTCAAATGTTGAGCATGCACAGATTATGTGGATGAGAACTTGCCAGGTGGGCTTACCGAAGGAGACGTGGTAAGAATCGCCTACATCTGCCAGGCCCTGAGGACAGGCCCTCTCCACACCGAGGCTTATTTCCTTGGGTTGCAGAAGAGGAAACGCCAGGGAGCCCAGTATTCTTTGGTTCATTCACTTCTTTTTTATGTTGTAACCTACATACTGTAAACTACGCCCAGCTTAAGTAGCGTATACCCTGATGAATTTTTATGTACGTATGTATCCCCAGGATGTATCCGACACTCAGGTCAAGATACAGAACGTGCTCAGCACCTCAACAGGTGCCCTTGTGTTCCCTTCCAGTCAAGCCCCCACTTGCCACCACAGAATGGAACAATCATTTTTTTTTTTTTTTTAGAGACAGGGTCTCGCTCTGTCTCCAAAGCTGGAGTGCAGCTCCATCATGGTTCACTGCAGCCTCCGCCTCCCGGGTTTGAGCGATCCTCCCATTTCAGTGTAACCACCATTCTTATCTCTATCACCATAGATTAGCTCTGCATGTCTTTGAACTTCATATAAATGGAATCATGCATAGATAGGCTCTTTTGTGTCTGGATTCTCTCTGTTAACACTGTGTCTGTGAGACTCACTCACGCTGTGTGTAGTATTATGCTTCATCCTTTTTTGTTGTTGCATAGTATTCCACTGTATAAATATACCACAATTTATTTGTCTGTTTTCCTATTGCTGTGCATTTGG
The DNA here is from genome assembly GCF_000001405.40 of Homo sapiens. Lineage (NCBI taxonomy): Eukaryota > Metazoa > Chordata > Mammalia > Primates > Hominidae > Homo > Homo sapiens. The sequence continues at coordinate 85,749 of NT_187689.1, read as the reverse complement.
ATTGTTTTGTTTTTCACTATTTTGAATAAAGCTGCTATGAACATCCTTGTGTATGTCTTGGGTATACAGATGGTCCTGGCTTACAATGATTGGATTTAAAATTGTTTGACTTTATGATGGGCTTATCAGGGTATTAAATGTGTTTCTGACTTACAGTATTTTTGACTTACCACGTGTTTATTGGGACGTAACCCCTTCCTAAGATGAAGAGCATCTGTATACATCCAGAATCCTGTGGAGCAACTCATAACCCATGAGGAATGGAAGCCGACAGACAGACTCATCCCCAGGACAGGTGGTTCTCACTACATCTCATAAAGCTTCTTAGAAGATCTTACAGGATTGAGCAACCAGCCAGCCACAGCAGGGGCCAACTGGATAACACGTCTTTGCATAGGCTCTCCCTCTGTCCCTGTCACCCTCCCCTTTTCCTAACCTTGTTCCTTGGGATTATGTTTTGAAATAAATTATTCAGAGAAATGAAGCCAAAGCTGACCCATTAGCCAATAGCTAGGTTCTGTGATGACAGAGCTTCTGGGCTATAATCGTTTACTGAGAAGCCAGCGTTCCTGAGGGGATAATGGCTCGTTCCATTCAGCTGCAGCATAGGAGTGAGGGCAGGGCATTAGCAGAAGATAACACCAGAAACGTGCTCTGGGGCCTGTTGATGACTTTCTGTGCCAAGCACAGACATTTAGCCTTTATTCTGTATGTGATGGGAAGCCAGTGCCAGTGGTGGGTTTGAGCAGGGAACCAGCAACCAGTGGTGGGTTTGAGCAGGGAACCAGCAATACTCAAGCTCTGCTTGGATGGAGGCCAGTCAGGGAGGAGTTAGGGCAGGAGGACCAGTCAGGGAGGAGACTTAGGGCAGGAGGACCAGTCAGGGAGGAGACTTAGGGCAGGAGGACCGGTCAGGGAGGAGACTTAGGGCAGGAGTACTGGTCAGGGAGGAGACTTAGGGCAGGAGGACCGGTCAGGGAGGAGACTTAGGGCAGGAGGACCGGTCAGGGAGGAGACTTAGGGCAGGAGGACCGGTCAGGGAGGAGTTAGGGCTGGAGGACGGGTCAGGGAGGAGACTTAGGGCAGGAGGACCGGTCAGGGAGGAGTTAGGGCTGGAGGACCGGTCAGGGAGGAGTTAGGGCAGGAGGACTGGTCAGGGAGGAGACTTAGGGCAGGAGGACCGGTCAGGGAGGAGACTTAGGGCAGGAGGACCGGTCAGGGAGGAGACTTAGGGCAGGAGGACTGGTCAGGGAGGAGACTTAGGGCAGGAGGACAGGTCAGGGAGGAGTTAGGGCTGGAGGACGGGTCAGGGAGGAGTTAGGGCTGGAGGACCGGTCAGGGAGGAGTTAGGGCAGGAGGACAGGTCAGGGAGGAGTTAGGGGAGGAGGACCGGTCAGGGAGGAGTTAGGGCAGGGGGATTGGTCAGGGAGGAGTTAGGGCAGGGGGATTGGTCAGGGAGGAGTTAGGGCAGGAGGACCGGTCAGGGAGGAGTTAGGGCAGGAGGACCGGTCAGGGAGGAGACTTAGGGCAGGAGGACTGGTCAGGGAGGAGTTAGGGCAGGAGGACCGGTCAGGGAGGAGTTAGGGCAGGAGGACCGGTCAGGGAGGAGACTTAGGGCAGGGGGATTCGTCAGGGAGGAGTTAGGGCAGGAGGACCGGTCAGGGAGGAGTTAGGGCAGGAGGACTGGTCAGGGAGGAGTTAGGGCAGGAGGACAGGTCAGGGAGGAGACTTAGGGCAGGAGGACCGGTCAGGGAGGAGACTTAGGGCAGGAGGACTGGTCAGGGAGGAGTTAGGGCAGGAGGACCGGTCAGGGAGGAGTTAGGGCAGTAGGACCGGTCAGGGAGGAGTTAGGGCTGGAGGACTGGTCAGGGAGGAGTTAGGGCTGGAGGACAGGTCAGGGAGGAGTTAGGGCAGGAGGACGGGTCAGGGAGGAGTTAGGGGAGGAGGACTGGTCAGGGAGGAGTTAGGGCTGGAGGACCGGTCAGGGAGGAGTTAGGGCAGGAGGACCGGTCAGGGAGGAGTTAGGGCTGGAGGACCGGTCAGGGAGGAGTTAGGGCAGGAGGACCGGTCAGGGAGGAGTTAGGGCAGGAGGACCGGTCAGGGAGGAGACTTAGGGCAGGAGGACTGGTCAGGGAGGAGTTAGGGCTGGAGGACCGGTCAGGGAGGAGTTAGGGCAGGAGGACTGGTCAGGGAGGAGTTAGGGCAGGAGGACAGGTCAGGGAGGAGACTTAGGGCAGGAGGACCGGTCAGGGAGGAGACTTAGGGCAGGAGGACTGGTCAGGGAGGAGTTAGGGCAGGAGGACCGGTCAGGGAGGAGTTAGGGCAGTAGGACAGGTCAGGGAGGAGTTAGGGCAGGAGGATCGGTCAGGGAGGAGTTAGGGCAGGAGGACCGGTCAGGGAGGAGTTAGGGCAGGAGGACCGGTCAGGGAGGAGTTAGGGCAGGAGGACAGGTCAGGGAGGAGACTTAGGGCTGGAGGACTGGTCAGGGAGGAGTTAGGGCAGGAGGACCAGTTAGGAGGCAGTGACTTAGGACTTCAGCAGTGGCACTAGAAAGGGGATGGATATGAACGACATTGCAAAGTAAAACTAGAGAGACGGCCGGGCACAGTGGCTCACTCCTGTAATCCCAGCACTTTGGGAGGCCAAGGCGGGTGGATCATGAGGTCAGGAGATCGAGACCAGCCTGGCCAACATGGTGAAACCCTATCTCTACTAGAAAAAAAAAAAAATAGCCAGGCGTGGTGGCGGGCGCCTGTAATCCCAGCTACTCCAGAGGCTGAGGCAGGAGAATTTGCTTGAACCAGGGAGTCGGAAGTTGCAGTGAGCTGAGATCGCACCACTGCACTCCAGCCTGGGCAATAGAGTGAGACTCCGTCTCAATAACAAAACAAACAAACAAAAACCTAGAGAGACTTGGCACCTTGCAGAGAGAAGCAAAAGATGACCCTGAGGTCTGGAGTCCAGGAAGCCAAGGACAGCAAAAGCATCCACAGAAACAGGAAAAGGGCAGGTGTGGGAGGGAAGGTGAGAGGTTCATCAGACCTCACAGCCCCTGGCAGCGCCTCCTGGATCTTTGAAATCCTGTGCACCCCAGGAGACTCCGGGAGGCCCATCTGAGCTCACCGGAGACAGGTCTGCCGTCTCTCCTCTCATCACTGGGGACAGAAAGCCTGAACATGAGGCCTGGACTACGGGGCTCAGACCAGAATATTTCCAGACTTAAGGGCAGTAATGTGGAGCCCAGGAAGGAATATTGAGGACAGAGGGCACATTACTTAGCTCAAGGGGTGCTGGGTTCTTATTTTCTACTTTCAAGAAATGTTTGCTATAGTCACTGTAACCACCACAAAACAGTGAATAATACCATGAGCCAAATGTATGTTTCACAATTTGTATGGCTGATTCTACGCACATTTAAATGTGTTTATGACAATTGTAGATTTCGGTTTTCCTCTGGTTAAACCAATGTGGAAGTACACAGGATGGGAGCTGAGAGACAAGCATCCTGGGCCCAGCCATGCTGGCCTCAGTGGGCCAAGCTGGGGACAGATGACCTCTGCTCCGTGGATCCTGCTGGCTCAGGGTGGGGAAGGGGCCTCAGGAGAGGAGTCAGGCTCTCTTCTTTATTCTCCTCACAGCCATGTTGAATGGCATTCCTGGGAGGCTGGTTTGGAGAACTCACTGAACCTAAGTGAGCAGGAAGTGAAGGTCTGTTCCCACCTGTGCCTGTGTTCCCAGATAGCAGCTGCCTCCAGGAGACTCACCAGGAGCCAGGTCCCTCCATACCTCATCTCAATTAACTCACTCACCAGGAGCCAGGTCCCTCCATAACTGATCTCAATTAACTCACTCACCAGGAGCCAGGTCCCTCCATACCTGACCTCAATTAACTCACTCACCAGGAGCCAGGTCCCTCCATACCTCACTCACCAGCAGCCAGGTCCCTCCATACCTCATCTCAATTAACTCACTCACCAGGAGCCAGGTCCCTCCACACAGAGTCTCAATTAACTCACTCACCAGGAGCCAAGTCCCTCCATACCTGATCTCAATTCACTCACTCACCAGGAGCCAGGTCCCTCCATACCTCATCTCAATTAACTCACTCACCAGGAGCCAGGTCCCTCCATACCTGATCTCAATTAACTCACTCACCAGGAGCCAGGTCCCTCCATACCTCATCTCAATTAACTCACTCACCAGGAGCCAGGTCCCTCCACACCTCATCTCAATTAACTCACTCACCAGGAGCCAGGTCCCTCCATACCTGATCTCAATTAACTCACTCACCAGGAGCCAGGTCCCTCCATACCTCATCTCAATTAACTCACTCACCAGGAGCCAGGTCCCTCCACACAGAGTCTCAATTAACTCACTCACCAGGAGCCAAGTCCCTCCATACCTGATCTCAATTAACTCACTCACCAGGAGACAGGTCCCTCCATACCTCATCTCAATTAACTCACTCACCAGGAGACAGGTCCCTCCACACCTCATCTCAATTCACTCACTCACCAGGAGCCAGGTCCCTCCATACCTCATCTCAATTCACTCACTCACCAGGAGCCAAGTCCCTCCACACCGAGTCTCAATTAACTCACTCACCAGGAGCCGGGTCCCTCCACACCTCATCTCAATTAACTCACTCACCAGGAGACAGGTCCCTCCACACCTCATCTCAATTAACTCACTCACCAGGAGACAGGTCCCTCCATACCTCATCTCAATTCACTCACTCACCAGGAGCCAAGTCCCTCCACACCGGGTCTCAATTAAATCACTCGCCAGGAGCCAGGTCCCTCCATACCGGGTGTCAATTAACTCACTCGCCAGGAGCCAGGTCCCTCCCTAATGGATCTCAATTAACTCACTCACCAGGAGCCAGGTCCCTCCACACCTCATCTCAATTAACTCAGTCACCAGGAGACAGGTCCCTCCATACCTCATCTCAATTAACTCACTCACCAGGAGCCAGTCCTCTCCATACCTGATCTCAGTTACCTCACTCACCAGTAGCCAGGCCTCTCCAGACCTGGCTTAATTCTCACTATACTTAATTCAATTAATTCTCACTATAGCCCTATCAGACAAACTCTAGGATACACATGAGGATACAGAGTCTCAGAAAGGCTGAGAAAGTGGCTTGAGGTCACCTAGGTGGTAAGTGGTAGAGCTAGGAGTTGAAGTCAAGTCTGACTCTCAAGTCCACGCTCTTTCCATTGCACTATCTGCTTTTCTTTCTCCCCAAAGCCACAATATGCCACGATGCGGCCCAAGGCCTCTCCTCCAGTACCGTGCTGAGGGCTCTGAACAGATCAGGGCTGAAGCCAAGATGTCATCCAGTGCAATACCCACATGACCTCCGTGAATATCTACCCTGCCTTAACACTGTTTATCTTTAGGAAGCAGGATGCCTGAGGTCCAAACTTCTCCCTGGTGATCAAACCAGCTAAGACTGATGGAATCCAAGATGGCAGCTCATTTGACCTCTAACTTCATTATAATCTAATTTCCATGTTAAATGACAGTCCCACTAACACCGTAACAGTCAACAACCAACATGACAATGATGGGAAAAAATAACATAAAAAAACAAATAGGAAGGTGGCACTCTGGTTTTGAAAATTTCTCCACCCAGACCCAGAAAACACATGATTCCTCCCCTTGCTTTTTTCATTTTTATTTTTGTAGAGATGGGGGTGTATCACTATGTTGACCAGGATGGTCTCGAACTCCTGGTCTCAGCAATCCTCTCATTTTGGCCTCCCAAAGTTCTGGGTTTATGGGAGTGAGCCATTGCACCTGGCCACTCCTCCCCTTGCTTTTAATGCTCAGCCCCTTCACTAAAGATGCCCTGTATCTGTGACTTCCTGGGTCTCACGAGCAGAAAAGTTGATTTGTGAGCCAAGCTCTCACTTCTCAATTCCATGGCCACCAAATAAAGCCTGCACTGCTTGAGGCTCACTTTCGGTTTTGCATATTGGCTTCATGGCACCAAACAGGGAAAGACCCCATTTTAGGGAAAGTGGCTTTGTCAGTAACAAGGACACAGAAGGAAAGAAATGGAGGATGATTTAGGGCAGAAGTCAGCAAACTATGGTCTATGGGCCAAATCTGGCCACTGCCTGTTTTTGTGCAACTCATAGGCTAAGAATGTTTTCTACATTTTTAGATGGTAGGAGAAGAACAAAAGAGGAAGAATGTTTTGTCACAAAAGTATATGAGATTCAAATTTCAGTGTCCACAGACGGCAATCCTGGCTCCTACCCCTAAAACAATCATTGCAGTGGAGCTCTGCCCTAGCTACGGCCCCTTTCTTCTTTTGGTTCCCTGACTTTGGGGCCTGGAGGGCACAAAGGCAAGGAGCAGGCTGCCATCCACCCCTTCTCAGAGAACCTGCAGGGAGCTCACCATGCTCTGCATCCAGTCTAGGTGGCTCCTAGCGGGGCTTGGTGGGTTCTCCATCCTCAGCACCATCTGCAGCACCATCTTGGTCATCTGAGAAGCTGAGAGAAACACAAGGTAAATGTTCCTGTCCTCATTTCTGCCTCCCAACCCCACTGCTGCTGCTCAATGTCCCCAGTATCTCTCTGCAGACTCCTGTGTGCCCTCAAAAGTCTACACGGTACCAGTCAAGAGACATCCATACTGCAAGATGATAGAAAGGTAAGTGGAACCCAACCACCTCATTCTCTACCCTCATGTCTACCACGGACAGCTGAACCTCTCCCTGTGGAACCTGGAAAAGTAGCTCAGAGAGGAGTAGCAGGTGGCAAGGAACATCAGGGAAACAAAGCTAGAAGGAGCATGTAGGCACCTTTGACCTGAAATAGACAAGATGCAAGATCTCAGGATTGTCAGGGACCTTAGGAACCATCTAGGCCACATCCCGGCTTTGGCCTGAAGTGCAGGCAAAGGGTTTGCCTCTGCCAGCCATCGCATCCAGCTTTGCTGTAGGTGGAATCGGGCCTGTATGTGAGTTACCAGGGTTGCAGAGGACACTGTGGTCTGGGTGGCAGTCTGGTGCCACATGGCAGAATTCATCACAGTAGCAACTTCCCCTCTTGCAGCGGTGATCCGTCCCAAGACAGCAAAGGTTCTGGGGTTGGGAGCAGCTGCCTGGAGAAAAAGGAACATTAAAAAAAAAAAAAAAGATTAAAATTAGCCAGGTATGGTGGTGCACGCCTGTAGTCCCAGCTACCCAGGAGGCTGAGACAGGAGATCACTTGAGCCCAGACGCAGGAAGCTGAAGTGAGCCATGATCACACCAGCGCACTTCAGCCTGGGTGACAGAGCAAGACCCTGTCTCAAAAAAAAAAAAAAAAAAAAAAAAAGGAAAAGAAAAGATAGATTTAACAAATGGTGCTTAGACAACTGGATAAGCACATGCAAAAGAATGCATTTGGACTCCTACCTCAAACCATATACAAATATTAACTCAAAATGGACCATAGACCTAAATGTAAGAGCTGAAACTGGCTGGGTGCGGTGGCTCATGCCTGTAATCCCAGCACTTTGGGAGACCAAGGCAGGCAGATCACTTGAGGCCAGGAGTTCAACACCAGCCTGGCCAACATGGTGAAACCCGTCTCTACTAAAAACACAAAAATTAGCTGGGCTTGGTAGCATGCACCTATAGTCCCAGCTACTCAGGAGGCTGAGGCAGGAGAATTGCTTGAACCCAGGAGGTGGAGGTTGCAGTGAGCCAAGATTGCACAACTGCACTCCAGCCTGGGCAACAGAGCAAGACTCTGCCTCCAAAATAAATAAATAAATAAAAATAAGTCAATCAAATTTAAAACTGGACAAAGGATTTAAATAGACATTTCTCCAAAGAAGATACACAAGTGGCCAGTGAGCATGAAAGATACTCAACATCATTAATCATAAGGAAATGCAAATCCAAACCACAATGAGATACCACCCCACATCCAGTAGGACGGCTAAGATAAAAAATAAAACAGCAAGTGTTGGCTGGGTGGGGTGGCTCACACCTGTAATCACGGCACTTGGGAACACTGAGATGGGTGGATGACGAGTTCAGGAGTTTGAGACCATCCTGGCCAGCATAGTGAAACCCGTCTCTACTAAAAATACAAAAATTAGCTGGGTGTGGTGGCATGCACCTGTAGTCCCAGCTACTCAGGAGGCTGAGGCACGAGAATCTCTTGAACCCAGGAGGCAGAGGTCGCAGTGAGCTGAGATCACGCCACTGCACTCCAGCCTGGCGACAGAGCGAGACCCCATCTCAAAAAAAAAAAAAAAAAAAGCAAGTGTTGAAGTGTTGCTGAGGGTGTGGAGAAATTGGAACCCTCATACACTGCTGGTGGAATTGCAAAATGGTGCAGCCACTTTGAAAATCAATTTGGGGAGATGAGGTGGCAGCAGAAAAGAATAAAAAAAAAAAAGAAAAAAAAGAAAAACAATTTGACAGTTTCTCAGAATGTAAACATAGAGTTGCCATATGACCCAGAAACCCTACTTCTGAGCCTGTAGTTAGGAGAATTAAAAACACATGTTCACACAAAAACCTATCAATGAATATTCATAGCAGTGTTATTCATAATAGCCAAATAGTAGAAACAATTCAAATGCCCTTCAACTGATGAATGGCTAAAACTAAATCTGGTATATCCATATAATGGGATATTACTCAGCCATAAAAAGGAATGAAGTACAGATGCATGCCACAACAACAATGAAACTTGAAAACATGCTAAGTGAAAGAAGCCACTCACAAAAGGCCGTGTATTGTATGATTCCATTTATATGAAATGTTTAGAATAGACAAATCCATCAAGACAGAAAGTATATTAGTGGTTGCCAGGGGCTGGTGAGATGTGTGGACCAGGCAGTGACTGCTGATGGGTCAGAGTTTATTTGGGGCATAACAAACATGTTCTGAAATTAGACAGAGGTGGCCAGGCGCAGTGGCTCACACCTGTAATCCCAGCACTTTGGGAGGCCGAGGCGGGCAGATCATTTGAGGTCAGGAGTTTGAGACTAGCCTGGCCAACGTGGCAAAACCCTGTCTCTACCAAAAAGTGCCAAAAAAATAAAATAAGACAGCAGTGATGGTTCTGCAACCCTGTGAATACACTGAACAACACTGAAATGTACACATGGTGAATTGTACAAAAGGGTAAATCTCACATCCTGTAAATTATCTCTCAATAAAGCTGTTATTAAACAGAGAGAGAGAGAAGGAGAGAAAAGGGGGAGATAAGATGAGGACGGTAATGGGAGTGACAGCGAAGAGAGAAATAGAGAAAACAGCAGAGAAGAGAGTGCCTAAGAGGGAGAGAAACCCCTCCCCCACTCCCCACAGTTAGAGGAAGGTCTTCCAGAGCCCTGTTTACAAACCAGTTCTGCCAACTCTACCCCCTGCCCAAATTTCCCCAAATTGCTCAGCTCAGTTGTGATCTGGTCATTGTCATTCCCTCCAAGAGAAGGGGATGCATCTTCTTTAAGAGTGCGGCAAGCAAGGCGTGGGCAGGAGGGACGCTGGCCCAGTTACCTGGCGAGTCTGTGGCTCAGGTGAGCAGGGGACCCAGGTGTTGTCACCCCAGGACTCTCAACACTCTTCTCCGTCTACTTGACTTTGACCTTCCAAATTGCTTCCTGTTAGGTTAACACCTGGCTCTTTAGGGCTAAACTGGAGGGCTTTGTTTAGGGATAAACTTGAAGGCCTTTCAAAGTTGACACGATCAACAGGGAGCAGGCCTCTGAGCCCTGTGGGCCTGGGTGTGGCTGAGCCAGTCTGTTGTGGAAACAGGGCCAGCAGGTGTCCGGTAGTGTGGTCTGGGGGGTCAAGACTCTGAAGGTGAGGGTGGCCTGGCTGGGGCCACAGCCTCTGAGTTTGGCCTGGCTTTTGCCTCATGTTCAGCTCAGGAGCCTCCTGCAAGTGATCAGCTTCTCTTCTCATGTTGTCCCTCTTCTCCAGAGCCTGGTGCTGCGTCAGGTTGTCACCAAGACCAGGGATCAACCAGAAAGGGCTGGAGTGGAAATAGAGCCCCAGGAGCCACCCAGACTAAGGTTGCCGACAATCTGTGAGACTGAGTTCAATTCAGTGGTCATAACCAACATTTATTTCAACAGGATGACACTGAATGAAATAGAATAGAATAGACCCACATACATTGTATGTAAAAGTCAACTGAGTTCTTTTTGAAATTTCTGTTGGTTTTTATACACACAGATGCACTTACTGGGTCAGAGTATAAAATGTATTTATTAAAGTGAACTGGGGCCAGAAACGTTGGAAAGCCACTGATCTAGAGAGATGTCCTCATTGTATAGACAAGGGGAGAACCTTTTGCCCATGGCTGGGAGTCAAACCAGCAATCCTGACCTCTCCCCTGCTTTCCCACCATATCGTGCTCAGGGTCCTCACTCAAAAAGCCTCTTGTTGCACGTGCTACGGAGCTCTGCTGTTCTCTAAACACCCTGCATTCTCCTGCCTCTGAGCCTTTGCTCAAGCTCTTCCCTCGGCTTGGAAGGCCCTTCCCTCCCATATCCATTAGAATTAAATATTCTATGCTTCAAGGCAGCATTTGAAGACAACTTCCCCCGGGGTGCCGAGGAGCTAGCTCATTATTATGAAGATGAAAAATAAAGAATCAAACATTGATCCAGCCTTTCCATCCAAGCCAAATAGTTGACAAGGGAAATATCTTCACGACAGAGAACCTTCGGCTAACAAGTGCAGAAAGAATGATAGAAAAGCACTACTTGGCAGCCCCTAATGAGAAGTGGATCTCAGCACAAATCATTAGTGGACAGAATTTTATAATGGGTGCACTATCTGGTGGATGAAGTTTAACACCAGTAAAAGTGGGACAGCTGGACACTTTGTGTCTCCTTCGAGGTGCGATAGGAAGTACCCACCTATGGATTCTTCCTGCCTAAGAAATCTCCAGTCCTGATCTCAACTACCAGAGTTCAGGAAAGACAGAGGCAGAGGGACATCCACAAAGATTCAATCAGTCAAACCCAGAAGGTAGGATATGCCGCAGGACACAGTACCTGGTTCGTTCAACAGCTAAATGACATGAAAAAATGGCACTGATCTAGGTATAGATTTAAAGACATTTAAGAAATATGCTAGTTAAACATGTGTGCGTATCTTTTTTGGATCTTGACTTGAATAAACCAGCTGTAAAAAGGCATTTTTCTTTCTTTCTTTTTTTTTTTTTTTTTTTTTTTTTTTTGAGACATGGTCTCACTCGGTGCAGCAGACTGGAATGCAGTGGTATGGTCACAGCTCGCTGCAGCCGCAACTTCTGGGGCTCAAGCAATTTTCTCACTTCAGCCTTCTGAATAGCTGGGACTATAGGTGAACATCAACACACCTTGCTAATTTTTAAACAAATTTTTTTTTTGTAGAGACTGAGTCTCGCTATTGTACCCAGGCTGGTCTCAAACTCCTGAGCTCCAGTGATCCTCCCACCTTGGCCTCCCAAAGTGCTGGGACTACAGGCATCAGCCACCACATCTGATCTTATTTTTTCTTTTTCTCTTCTGCTTTGCTGCTGAATAACAAGATATTTTTGACAAGTGGGGGAAATATGAACACTGATAGGTATTAAACGATAGTAAGTAGTTTTTTAAATTAATTAATTAATTAATTTTTTTTTTAAAGACAGAGTCTTGCTCTGTTGCCCAGGCTGGAGTGCAGTGGCGCAATCTCGGCTCACTGCAACCTCCACCTCCCTGGTTCAAGTGATTCTCCTGCCTCAGCCTCCCGAGTAGCTGGGATTACAGGTACCCGCCACCATGCCTAGCTAATTTTTGTATTTTTAGTAGACACAGGGGTTTCACCATGTTGGCCAGGCTGGTCTTGAACTTCTGGCCTCAGGCGATCTGCCCGCCTCAGTCTCTCAAAGTGTTGGGATTACAGGTGTGCGACCATATTTGTTTTGGCTCTGATAAGGTATTGTGGTTATATTTTTTAAATATGGGGGATAAGAGCTTGAGCATAATGTTGATAATATTGAAGGTGGCCAACTGGTACCTTGGGTTCATCATCCTATTCTCTTTACTTTTGCATGTGTTTGAATTTTTCCACAATAAATAGCTTTGGGTTTTTTTTTTTTTTTTTTCCTGAGATGGAGTCTCCCTCTGTCACCCAGGCTAGAGCGCAGTGGCGCAATCTCGGGTCACTGCAACCTCTGTCTCCCAGGTTCAAGTGATTCTCCTGCCTCAGCCTCCCAAGTAGCTGGGATTACAGGCACCCACCACCACACCTGGCTAATTTTTGTATTTTAATAGCGATGGTATTTCACCATGTTACCCAGGCTGGTCTTGAACTCCTGACCTCAAGTGATCCACCCGTCTCGGCCTCTCAAAGTGCTGGGATTACAGGCGTGAGCCACCGCACCCAGCCAAGAAGTACAGCCTTGTGCCACATCACGATGTTTAGACCGATGATGGACCATATATATGACGGTGGCCCCATAAGATTATAATAGGGCATATGCAGAAACCCGATATATGGTGCTCGATATTGGCCTTGAGGATCAAGCAGGGGAAATGACTGATGTTCAGTAATGGGACATGTGCTGGGACATGTGGCTTTCCATGTGGAAAACAAACATGTAAATAAATATATATATAAACCATCTAGGTTTATGTAAACTCTCGATTTCATTGTTGTGTGAACTCTATGATATTCATACAACAAAGAAATCATCTGATGATGCATTTCTCAGAATGTGTCTCCATCATTAAGCAACAGCTGACTGTGTTCCTACCAATGACATCTAGTTTTCTCCCAAGAGAAGTTCTAGGGCCAGGCACGGTGGCTCACACCTGTAATCCCAACACTTTGGGAGGCGGAGGTGGGCAGATCACCTGAAGTCAGAAGTTCAAGACTAGCCTGGCTAACATGGCGAAACCCTGTCTCTATTTAAAATGCCAAAAATTAGCCAGGCATGGTGGTGCATGCCTATAATCCCAGCTACTCGGGAGGCTGAGGCAGGAGAATGGCTTGAACCCAGAAGGTGGAGGTTGCAGTGAGCCGAGATCGTACCACTGCACTCCAGCCTGGCGGGGGACAGAGCAGACTCTGTCTGGAAAAAAAAAAATTAAAAAGAGAGAGAGAGGAGAGAGAGAGAGAAGTTCTAGTAAATGCAACTGTATTCACCCTGTTGTATTTCCAGGGATGTTTGAATAAACCCAGTAGACTGGTGCCTGGAAATTGCCCAGTGAGTCTGCCTGTTAATCTGGATCTGGGTTTATCACACCTACCTTCCCTCCTGTCCCGTCCACCCCAGCCACCCACAGTGCCCACGCTGCCTCTATCCGAGGGAGCATCCTCTGGATACTAGACCCTCCCAAGCTGATCATCCAAAGACATCTTATCCAGATATAAAACTGGATACACAAAGAAGCCACATCAACCATATAGTCGGTACTTAATAAGTGTCTGAATACATGAATTATTTGATTAATGAATTAATGAATGCTGGGTCACAGGAGGTGGGTCATGCCAGAGACAAAACAGATTAATTGATTGAATGAATGAGAGAGCAGAGATTGGGGTCTCTTTGACCTGTAGCACAGATGCCAGCCTAGCTCCTCACCTGTCTTCACCCCAAGGCTCAGCCACAGCAGGAGGAGGAGGACCAGCCACGTGGCAGCAGGCATCAAGCAGAGATAGAAGTGCTGCAGCGTCCAAGGCCTGGTCTTTAAATATCCACCCATCCCAGCCAGCCCACCTGGTTCCTCCCTACTCCTGGGGAGGAACCAGCAGACACCTGGGCAGTCACTGGCAGACAGCAGGAGTGACACAGGTATCCCAGCTGCTTGAAATAGCTCACCCAAGCAGAGGTAATTTTGACATCCTGGAAACTCCAGCCTCCAGGGGAAGAATCTGAAAAACCAGAGTGACAAAATGACAGCGCTCACAGGAACTTTGCAGATTATCTAATCTTTTTATTTATTTTATTTTATTTTTTGAGACAGAGTCTCACTCTATCGCCCAGGCTGGAGTGCAGTGGTACGATCTCAGCTCACTGCAACCTCTGCCTCCCGGGTTCAAGAGGTTCTTCTGCTTCAGCCTCCCCAGTAGCTGGGATTACAGGTGGCTACTATTACACCCAGCTAATTGCTGTATTTTTAGTAGAGACGAGTTTTCACCACGTTGGCCAGGCTGGTCTCAAACTCCTGACCTCAGGTGATCCACTGCCTCAGCCTCCCAAAGTGCTGGGATTACAGGCATGAGCCACCACACCTGGCCAATTGACTTTTATTAGCATTCATATACAGGTTTTGTGTGAATATATGTTTTCATTTCTCCGGGATAAATGTGCAAAAATGAAATTACTGCATCATATAGTAGTTGCACATTCAGTCATAAAAAAAAACAGCCAAGCTGTTTCCCAGAGTGGCTGCACCACTTTAAATTCTCACAGCAGTGATTGAGTGGTACAGTTCCTTTGCATCCTTGACAATAGTATTGTTACTATTTTTTATTTTGGTGATTCTTTTTTTTTTTTTTTTTTTTGAGACATAATCTTGCTCTGTCGCCCAGGCTGGAGCGCAGTGGCATGATCTCAGCTTACTGCAACCTCCGTCTCCTGGGTTTAAGCAATTATCTTGCCTCAGCCTCCCAAGGTGCTAGGACTACAGGCGTGTGCCACCACACCTGGCTAATTTTTGTGTTTTCAGCAGAGACAGGGTTTTGCCATGTTGGCCAGGTTGGTCTTGAATTCCTGATCTCATGTGATCTGCCTGCCCCAGCCTCCCAAAGTGTTGGGATTACAGGTGTGAGCCACCATGCCTGGCCTTATTTTGTTGATTCTAACACGTGGTGATATCTCCTGGTTTAAAGAAGCGTTTCCCTAATGGTATCAAACATCTTTTCATGTGCTTATTTGCAATCTGTATATCTTCTCCAGTGAAATGTTGCTTTGTATCTTTTGCTCATGTTCTAATTGCATTCTTTGTTTTGTTACTATTTTAAGACTTTTAAATGTATTCTAGATACTAGTCCTTTGCAAATATAGTCATGCATCGCATAAGGACATTTTGGTCAATGACAAACTGCATATAGGATGCGGTCCCATAAGATTATAATAATGGGCCTGAAAAAATTCCTGTTGCCGAGTGCAATGCTACTCATGTGTCTAGTGATGCTCGTGTAAAGCTACTGTGCTGCCACTTGCATAAAAGCACAGCGCACACCATTCTGTACAGTACACAATACTTGATAATGATAATAAATGTGTTCCTGGATAGCACAGCACACACCATTCTGTACAATACACAATACGTGATAATGATAATAAATGTGTTCCTGGTTTATGTATTTACTATAATATACTATTGATCAGTGTTTTAGAGTGTACTCCTTCTCTCTATAAAAGAATTAAGTGAACTAGCAGGCCCTTTGGGAAGTACTGTAGAAGGCATTGTTACCACAGGCGATGACAGCTCCATGTGTGTTATTGCCCCTGAAGACCTTCCAGAGAGACAAAATGTGGAGGTGGAAGACAGTGATACTGATGACCCTGACCCTGTGTGGATCTAGGCTAACATGTGTTTTTGTGTCTTAGTTTTCAACAAAAAAGTTTAAAAAGTTAAAATACTAAGTTTATAAAGTTAAAAAGTTACAGTAAGCTAAGGCTGACTTATTGAAAAAATGTGCTTATACATGTAATATAGCTAAGCTGGCTTTTGCAAACATAGAGTCCTGTGGATGTTATGCTGACTTCGGCTTGGGGTTTTTCACAGAGAGAAGCATGGCAAGGGGGACTCCATCAGGTTGGTGCAAAGGTAATTGCTGTTTTCGCAATTAAAATAATGGGAAAAACTGCAATTACCTTTGCACCCACCTAATAACTTATCTAGGGGACTCTTTCTCCACCCAAAACCCAGGACACTTGGCCCACAACTACATCACCACCCCAGGGTTCCAGGACACTTGGCCCATGACTACATCACCACCCCAGGGTTCCAGGACACTTGGCCCACAACTACATCACCACCCCAGGGTTCCAGGACACTTGGCCCATGACTACATCACCACCCCAGGGTTCTTTACTATAGTTTTCTTGTTCTTCCTTCAATTACGTGTGACATTCCCAACTCCAAGATTCTTCCAGTCCTTCTCTCCCCCTTCATCTAAAGCAGGCTGTCATGAGTTTCTGTCAGCTGCAATCAAGAGTCATGACTCTTACAGTGGGTAGGATTACTCCCTTTTTTGTTGTCATTAAGGAAACCTGTAAGAGGAAAAACAAACACACTTTATGTGGAGAGACAGGGAAAGTTGTTCTATTCAGTCTGGAATCTAGTCCCTCAGCTGGTGGTCCACCTTCGGATTCACTGGTCTTGGGAGTAAGACGGTGCCTTGTAGTCAAAGAAGTGAGGAATTCTGGTGCCTCCTGAGGGTGGAACTGAGGAGAGGAGACGTGAGAGAGGATGCTGGAAAGGAGGAAGCAGCCAGAATGTGTAGGGCCTTTGTGGCCAGGCCAAGGAGCCTCAGGGAATATCTGAGCGTCTTAAATAGGTCAGAGGGCAATTCTGAAAACAAACTCCTTCTACCTGCTGTGTAGGCAATGAGTTGTCATTGTTAGATAGAGGATAAAATGAACCCAATTAGATTATTGCCATCATTCCAGTGATTGAAGATGTTGATCTGTAATAGGGTAATGGCCATACACTTTCGAGAGGAAAAATGTTCAAATTTAGGGGATAATTAGAAATCTGCACTTACAGCCCTTGGTGACACTTTTCCTATGAGCCAAACGGAGAGGGGGAGAGAGAGAGAAGGTGGACAGTCACCGACATATGAGGCAGTGGAAGAGGAACAGGCATGGATAGGAAGAGAATTGTGGGACACACTGGGTTCGAGATGCCTGTGTGAGACAGTCTCATGAATATGTCCAGTAGTATATTGACCAAGCAAGTCTGTCAGGAGCCTCTGGAAATGAGGTACAGAATTTGATAGTCATCACTATGGAGATGGTAACCTGAGCCGTGAGAGAAGCTAAAATCCCCGGGGAGAGGATGTAGAATGAGAGGAGAAAATGGGCCAGGACAAACACAAGGAATGCTCGGAGGGAGGGGCAAAACCAGAACAGTACAGCGTCCCCAAACCAAGGAAAAGAATGTTGCCAGAAGAGGAGAGTCAGGCTGTTTCAAACTCTGCTAAGAAGTGAAGGATGTTGCATATTGAGTAGAGTCCATTGGGGTTACCAGTCAGGCTGACTCAGGGATCCTCTTTGGCAGAAGTAGTTCCAATGAAGTGGGAGGAGGAAGGGAGGAGCAGAGGCCAAATGAGCGTGAGGAGTGTTTAGGAGTTGACAGAAAGTGTATCCACTTTTTTGAGACGTTTAGCCAGGAAGAGGGAGAGACATGGGGCAGTAGGTGGAGGAGGAGATGAAATTAAGGGAGTGTATGGAGTTTTAAAATGGAAAGCTTGATCCTGTTTAAATGCTGTTTTATGCCCCTACGAGGGCGAGGTTAAACATACAGAATAGAGGCATAACTGATAGAGCCAAGACTCCCACCCAGGAGCGGGTTTCGAGCGGCACCTCTCTAATTCAATCCCAAAGGAAAAGAGGATACATGTGGGTCCAGGTACATGCTGAGGTTTGGTGGCAGGACTTTGAAGGAGGTCCCATCTGATGGCTTCTATTTCTCCTGTGAAATAGGGGAAGCCCTGTCTGCTGGTTGTGATGTGCCGTGACAGTCAGAAATGCGGGGAAAAGGGGACAGGTCTGAAACGGGAGGCGTTAAGAATGGGAAAGTAAAGGCAGGCGCGATGGCTCACGCCTGTAATCCCAGCACTTTGGGAGCTCGAGGCGGGTGGATCACCTGAAGTCGGGCATTTGAGACCAGCCTGGCCAACATGGTGTAACCCCATCTCTACTAAAAATACAAAAATTAGCCAGGCATGGTGGTGTGTGCCTGTAATCCCAGCTACTTGGGAGGCTGAGGCAGGAGAATCGCTTGAACCCAGGAGGTGGAGGGTGCAGTGAGCTGAGATCGCGCCGCTGCACTCCAGACTGGGTGGCAAAGCGAGACTCCAACTCAAAAAAAAAAAAAAAAAAGAATGGGAAAGGGAGAGTGTCTGGGGAAGCAGCGTTGCCTCGGCAAGGCCTGAGACCGGCTGGGGTTAGAGATCAGGACTCCCGCGTGGCCTCGTCTCTGCCTCTGTGCATTTTCCCCCAGCAGGTCAGCAGTGTGAAAGGCGGGGGTTCTAGTAGGTCTCACAGGGAGACAATGCAGGAAGGGGCTGAGAATTGCAAGTGAGAGGTTATTGGTAGGACGGACAATGCAGGAGCTGGATGGACTGCACGGACTGAGCGATCGCCACCGAGAGATATTTGGGGTACCCTGCCCCAGTCCCCAGCCCTCAGCCCCCGACCCACCATGGGAGGTGGGAGCAGCGGGCAGGCCGGTTGGGGGCCAGATACCCAGGCAGTGGGATGTGCAGTGGGAGGGGTCTCCGCCCCTGCCCCGGGTCCCCACTGGCCCCTCCGCCGCCGACCGGCCCCCCCGCGGCATCCCAGAGCCGACCCAGGCCCAACTAGAGGAATGGCTGCAGAGCTGGGATCCTAATGACACAGGACAGTGGTGGAGCGTTAAGAGCTCGGTGGTAAACGTGCACTGAAATACAGTCATGCTGTGCAGAAGCTCTCTAGTTTCATTAGATACCTTTTGTCAATTTTGGCTTTTGTTGCCATTTCTTTTGGTGTTTTAGTCATGAAGTCTTTGCCCATGCTTACGTCCTCAATGGTGTTGCCTAGGTTTTCTTCTAGGATTTTTCTGGTTTTAGGTCTCACGTTTAAATCTTTAATGCATCTTGAGTTAATTTTTGTATAAGTGTCAGCAAGGGGTCTAGTTTCGGTTTTCTGCATATGACCAGGCAGAGTGAACAGGCAACCTACAGAATGGAAGAAAATTTTTGCAATCTATCCATCCGACAAAGGGCTAATATCCAGAATTTACAAGGAACTTAAGTAAATTTACAAGAACAAACAACCCCATCAGAAAGTGTGCAAAGGATATGAACAGACACTTCTCAAGACATTTATGCAGCCAACAAACATGAAAAAAACTCATCGTCACTGATCATTAGAGAAATGCAAATCAAAACCACAATGAGATATCATCTCACACCAGTTAGAATGGTGATCATTAAAAAGTCAGGAAACAACAGATGCTGGAGAGGATGTAGAGAAATAGGAATAGTTTTACACTGTTGGTGGGAGTGCAAATTAGTTCAACCATTGTGGAAGACAGTGTGGCGATTCCTCAAGGATCTAGAACTAGAAATACCATTTGACCCAGCCATCCCATTACTGGGTATATACCCAAAGGATTATAAATCATTCTACTGTAAAGACACATGCACACGTATGTTTATTTATTATTTTTGAGACGGAGTCTTGCTCTGTTGCCAGGCTGGAGTGCAGTGGCACGGTCTCGGCTCACTGCAACCTCCACCTCCCGGGTTCAAGCGATTCTCTTGCCTCAGCCTCCTGAGTAGCTGGAACTACAGGCACACACCACCACGCCCAGCTAATTTTTTGCATTTTACTAGAGAAGGGGTTTCACCATGTTGGCCAGAATGGTCTTGATCTCCTGACCTCGTGATCCACCCGCCTCAGCCTCCCAAAGTGCTGGGATTACAGGTTTGAGCCACCGCGCCCAGCCCCGAGCACATGTATGTTTATTGCGGCACTATTCACAATAGCAAAGACTTGGAACCAACCCAAATGCCCATCAATGACAGACTGGTTAAAGAAAATGTGGCACATAGACACCATGGAATACTATGCAGCCATAAAAAAGGATGAGTTCATGTCCTTTGCAGGATCATGGATGACACTGGAAACCATCATTCTCAGCAAACTAACACAGGAACAGAAAACCAAACACTGCATGTTCTCACTCATAAGTGGAAGTTGAACAATGAGAACATATGGACACAGGGAGGGGAACATCACACACCGGTGCCTGTTGGGAGGTTGGGGGCAAGGGGAGGGATAGCATTAGGAGAAATACCCAATGTAGATGACAGGTTGATGGGTGCAGCAAACCACCATGGCACATATATACCTATGTAACAACGCTGCACGTTCTGCACATGTATCCCAGAACTTAAAGTATAATAATAATAATAATAAAGGAATTGAGAGACTGTTGATATCAACTGTTCCCTGAGCCACATGGAAAGCTGTATCCTCTGCAGGCTGCTTGGTGAGTATGTGAGGAGGTATATTCATTCACTTTGAGACCTATTTCTCTAAGAAAGGGTCCTGAAAGGCTTTCCCCTGCTACAGGGACAGCCCTTGGCAAGGAAGCCACTGTCCTCAGGCACACAGGGCTCCTTCATCTCCTGCAACAGATACAGCCCTTGGCAAGGAAGCCACTGTCCTTGAGCACATAGACAGGGCTCCTTCATCTCCTGCAACAGGGACAGCCCTTGGCAAGGAAGCCACTGCCCTTGAGCACATAGACAGGGCTCCTTCATCTCCTGCAACAGGGACAGCCCTTGGCAAGGAAGCCACTGTCCTTGAGCACATAGACAGGGCTCCTTCATCTCCTGCAACAGGGACAGCCCTTGGCAAGGAAGCCACTGTCCTTGAGCACATAGACAGGGCTCCTTCATCTCCTGCGACAGGGACAGCCCTTGGCAAGGATGTCACTTCCTTGGGCACACAGACAGGGCTCCTTCAGCAGACAGCAGATAGATATGCAATGCAAGCCTTGGTTTTTTGGGATGATTCCAATGCAGCACCAGATACGTGTGTCCAATTCTGGGGTTTGCTCATAGGAAACCCATGTGCCAGCAAATCTATGTCACATTCTCCAGTATCACCTTTATAAGGAATAAAGTCAATTTACTGTTCTTCTGTAAAAAGAAAGAAACGTATTCATGACTGTAGCTTGGCTGTCACTCAAGTGCAAGTGAATGGTGGATGTGGCCGCGCGGCTCCACGCACTGATTCATAATCCCCAAAAGGGACAAGGGCAGACCCAGCTCTCTGCAGGGCAAACGCTCCACAACCCAAAACACTTGTTTCTGTTGTTGTTGCTGTTTGGAAACTCCCTCTTCTATTTCCCACCTCCCTCTTTCCCGTTCTCATTCCCTTTTCTCTGCTCCTATTTCTGTTTCCCTCAGTTCCACCTAATACCCCGTGGTGTCACCCTAGCCCTTTCCTCTACCCACTCCAGCCTTACTACCCCCAACGTCCCACACCCTGGGAAACACCAAGGTCTGCCTCTGTACCTCCAAGTTCTTTCCCCGTTATTGCCCTGGGTCAGTCCTTTGTGGGGGCTCCTCTCTCCTCTCTTGATTTCTTTTCATCTGGCTAACCTCTAATCCTGTAAGATTTACCTCAAATATCTTTCAAGAAGTATTTTCTGAATCCAAGGAGGACCTAAAAGCCATTCTGCTGGCCTCCCAGAGCTGAATCTGCCCATCTCCCCCGGATTATATTAAAATTATAAGTCATGTAAAATCCTTTTGGAACGAGACAGGGTATGATAAATAAGAAATATTCAACAAGTATACGTTACTTGTGTACACATACCACCTGACTTCTTTAACAACACATTGCAAGAAATAAAAAGATGGAGACATACGGCTGGGCGCAGTGGCTAATGCCTGTAATCCCAGCACTTTGGGAGGCCAAGGCAGGTGGATCACTGAGGTCAGGAGTTCGACACCAGCCTGGCCAACATGGTGAAACCCCCATCTCTACTAAAAATACAAAAATTAGCCAAGTGTGGTGGCAGGCACCTGTAATCCCAGCTACTCGGAAGGCTGAGGCAGGAGAATCTCTTGAACCCGGAATGCGGAGCTTGCAGTCAAGCAAGATTATGCCACTGCACTCCAGCCTGGGTGACACAGCAAGACTCCATCTCAAAAAAAAAAAAAAAAAGAAAAAGAAAAAGAAAAAACACCATGCATGCATACTCATATGAATGTACAAATGGATGAGTCTAGAACAAAAGATACTAGCCTGATACATATACAAACTATGCAGCTGCAGTCCCTGCCTCTTCCGCAACCCTGACCTCTAAGAAAGCTCTAACTCTGAATCCTGTCAGCACCTGGGCTGTGCTGCTTGGGACAACATTGTCTTCACAAGTCCTCTCCACATTCTCAGAGGTGGGGGTATTGCCAATGATGGGGGTTACTGCCTGAGTCCCGTCACCAGGGGACAAAGCTACAGCAGACACCACCATCTGCCAACAAAAAGAGAGATCATCTCCCACCCCTGGTTCTGCTGACGCAATCACTGGAAGCATCGAGGCACCACTATGTCCTCACCTGCCTCGGATTCAATTTCCTCCTAGCCAGGTCTGTTCTAAGGTCTCCAGAAGTTGAGAAATTAATTGAAAGATAACACTTTCCTCCCTGTGTTAAGGTTTATCACATAATGTATCCAAATACTGGGCCAGTCTTTCCTTTGGTCTCATTTCTATGAGCTAATCTGAAAATGCCTTTTCTGTTTTCCTTAGAATTTTTCTAAATGTTTCTGGGCGCTTGTGTTCCTGAGGCTTTCCACAGTGCACCCTCTTGTTCATCTGATGTCTTTGGCACATATAGGCCCTCGACAGGTAGTTGTTCAATGAACAGATGACCATCCTGTCCTTTGTGTGAACAAGCATAGCAAGTGCACATTGTATCTGTTTGTGTATCCAACAGCGTCCCTCCAAAGCCACTTTGTTCACTTATTTTCTCAGGATCACGGACGGCTGCATCTTGACATAAGCACACAGAATCTTTCCTTTTCCAGTCACTTTTCCTTTTTCCAGATTCCGGCCATAGAATTCCAGGCACAGAGCCAACCATGCCTGGCACCCCCTCCTGTCTTGGGACAAGGATACTTTCTCCTGTGGCTCCCATCTTGCTTCCAACATTCTTCTGCCAGAATTCAGTTTGGCGGACAATGACCTACTACTTTTAATTTTTTTCCCCTTTTTGCTCTTCTACCAAATACCGCTTTTCACCCAGGCTTTTCACTGCGTAGTGGACAATCTATCAAACAGGTGCTGTCCAGCGTGAGGGGCAGTTGCAAAGGTCTGCATCGGTGCTGGCTGATGGAACTTTCCGGTGATGGCATCATTCCGTAGCTGCACTGTCCAGTGAGGAGGCTACTTGCCACTGTGGCTACTGCTTGGGATGGTGCAGGTCTGAATATCTTACTCACAGCTCACCTTTTTGGTGCCTTTGATCCGTATTAGGAATTATCCACATCTTCTCTCTGGGCAATATTCTACTTTTTATATTGACCCAATTATTTTACTTCTTTGGTGTGTCCTTTCTCCTAACACATATGGGTTCACTTTGAAACCCTGAAACCCACATTTACAAAAACATTTTCAATATGAAACATTGTTCCATGACTCATTACTGGAGTACCATCAACATTTACATTTCCAGACCACCCACTGCCCAGTGGTTTTCTTGGTCTCAGTACTCATGAAAACGGTCTGAAGGTTTGTTTTGGGTTCCTAAGTAGTAGACACACGCACAACACTGCCTGTCAGTTATTTCTTGGAAACTAAATCAGCCCTTCTGTTGCCATCCTATCATGCTTCAGGGGTGCCTGTGCTAGTTTTTAATTCTTTGTCCTAACACTTAAATGTTTGCTCAAACGCCCATATTAATACTTCCTCTTAGTTTACAAAAGGATTTACTTTCTTACTGGTTGGGATGAAGCTGCCTGAGGTTGCCACCTGTTATTTTTCCTTCATTTATTGGACCATGTCATCCCATTACATGTTAGCCGTGGAGGTTTTCAAACTGTGTTCCCTGGACATGTTAGAAATGCAAATTCTCAGACCGAACCAGGACTGAATCGGAAGATCTGGGGTAGGGTCCCTCCAGGACTGAAAACGGAAGGTCTGGGGTGGGGTACCCCAGGACTGAATCGGAAGGTCTGGGGTGGGGTCCCCCCAGGACTGAATCGGAAGGTCTGGACGAGGGTCCCCCCAGGACTGAATCAGAAGATCTGGGGTAGGGTCTCCCCAGGACTGAATCGGAAGGTCTGGGGTGGGGTCCCCCCAGGACTGAATTGGAAGGTCTGGACTAGGGCCCCCCCAGGACCGAATCGGAAGGTCTGGACTAGGGTCCCCCCAGGACTGAATTGGAAGGTCTGGGGTAGCGTCCCTCCAGCTGATCCTGTTACACAGGTTAGAGAACCATGGCATTAGGGGTAGCAATTTGACAATTCTTTTTTTTTTTTTTTGAGACAGAGTCTCACTCTTGTTGCCCAGGCTGGAGTGCAGTGGCGCACTCTCGGCTCACTGCAACCTCCGTCTCCCAGGTTCAAGCAACTCTCCTGCCTCAGCCTCCTGAGTAGCTGGGATTACAGGCACCCATCATCATGCCTGGCTAATTTTTTGTATTTTTAGAGATGGGGTTTCACTATGTTGGCCAGGCTGGGACAATTCTTAAACTGTCATTCTTTACTCACTTACTTGCAGGAATTCTTATGTAAAGAACTTTCCCTAATCAACAAGGTTTCCCTGAATTGCAATTTGTAGAGAAAAGACAGGATAATTACTGATCTTCCTTCAAGTGTCCATTCCCAGTGTTAGGAGTTAGTGCCCTAGGTACCTCCAAGAGTGACCAATTACATGTGTTTGTTTGGTTTTGGCTTTGAAACCACCACTATGAATTCATGGTTTTCATGTATTAGAGACCACTTTCTAGGTGCTTGATGTGTCTACTGCTACTGGGGCAGAGGTAGAAAATGTGTCTACGGTAAAAGAACAACAAATGAGTTCACGCTTATATTTCTATTTCAAATTTAGTATACGGTTTTACACCTTTTTCTCAGAAAAATCTTGTTTTATTTTTTGAGATAGAGTTTTGTTCCTGTTGCCCAGGCTGGAGTGCAGTGGCACAATCTCGGCTCACTGCAATCTCTGCCTCCTGTTTCAAGCGATTCTCCTGCTTCAGCCTCCCCAATAGCTGGGATTACAGGCACCTGCCACCATGCCCAGCTAATTTTTCAATTTTAGTAGAGATGGCGTTTCACCATGTTGGCCAGGCTGGTCTCAAACTCCTGACCTCAGGTCATCTGCCCACCTCGGCCTCCCAAAGTGCTGGGACTTGGGAGGATTTTCCCTTGCCAGAAAAATCTTAGTTTTAGCATTAACATAATTAGTTATTTGCTTTAACTCCCACCCCACATAATTTCAAAGGATTAATACCTATAAGACGAGTAACGGAGATGATTGATTGAAATTTAGGATTCAGTGGCTCTATTTGTCTTTAGACTATGGCTCACTAAATCTGCACACTTGAAGTGCTGTGTTCTAGCGATCCTCTGATGACACATGAAGTAATAGGCTGCGTGACTGTCACCAGCCTGATGTGCAGTTGGGCTGCAGAACCCCGTGATGCTGCCTAGCCCAGCCAGCCCCAGGTCACTCCTCAGACTCAAACTCGATTCTGACACCACCAGCACCCGGGACGCTGCCTAGGGGCTTTCTCTGGTGGCAGCAGCATGTCCTGGAGCAGGCCAGGGGTGCCCGGAATTGACCATCCTGAACCTGTGCAGCGTGGGCTGGTGAAGGAACGCACCAGCTCCCACAGTGAACACGGGCCCAGCTGTCCACATGAGACCCGGCTCCCGGACGCCCCATGCTGCCGCCTCTTTCCTGTCTCACCTCCCACTTCCCTTCAGCTGCTGCTCAGGGCCACCTTCCAAATTTTTGTCTCAGGGTTGGCGCCTGTAGAATGCAATCCAAGGAATTTAGATTCATTCATTTCAGATACCATTCTTTCAATTTTAGGGACTATCTTAAAAACTTAGTTTGGTAATATGTAAAACACTTACAATTTCAAAGTCCAGATATTACTTCAGAGTCTATTTCGGTCTCACTTCCACCACTGACCCCTGTCCTCCACAGCAACCACTTTAGATTTTTATCTTTGTACTGTTTTAAGAAAAAGCAAATATATATTTGCATTATATTATATGTACTCTGCCCCTTATCAATAGGCGTTCCTCATTCCTCCTTCTGGTACGGAGTTCCCCACTGCACGAATTAATGTTCCTAATCCCTTACTGATGGACATTTTGATTGTTTCCAGTTTTACAAATGCCACAGTGAAGAACTTTGTGGCAAACACATTCAGGCTGTGAAAAGAACTCTGTGGATAAAGTCCTTTCATTTCTTTGCCAGAGTTTTTTTTGAGGCAGATTCTAGAATTGCTGAGTCTAAGGGCAAATGCCATGTCGTTTTGTTAGATGCTGCCAAATCCTCTTCCATGAGGCTGCAACGTTCTGCATTCCACAGTGACGTATGAGAGTCCTTGTACCCCACAGCTTCATAAACAAAGCATGACAGCAAACCTGCACGTTTACCCATCACACAGTTGAGAAATTTTATCTACTTTCACCTTTTTTTTTGGTTAGCATTTTTATTCCCAGCTTTTTTGTGGTATAATGCGCAGAAGGTAATGAACACATTCTACCTGCAAGCTTCTTCCTGTGCCTTTGGAATCTGCTCCTGCCAGTCTGCAGGGAACCACGGATCTGCTTTCCGTCACGTAGGAGGCATTCTCGACACCCTCTGTACACAGCATGCGCTTTATTTGGCTTCTCTTACGCAGCGTAGTGACTTTCAGATTTATTCAAGCTGCTGCGTGCGCCAACAGTCCACTCCTTCCTAGTGCTGAGGCCCCCATCACATGAGCACAACTGTTTCTTGTGTGTGATGTGTTGTCCTCTGGCTGTGCACTGCCAAAAAAGACATCATTAAAAAAAATTTAAATATAATGTAAGACCTGCCTTGTCTTAGGAAACGTTTTTCTGGCAGTGGCTCACACCTATAATCCCAATACTCTGGGAGGCTGAGGCAGGAGGACTGCTTGAGCCCAGGAGTTTGGGACCAGCCTGGGCAAGAGGGTGAAACCCTGTCTCTAAAAATTAGCCAGGCATGGTGGCTCACACCTGTAGTCTCAGCTCTTAGGGAGGCTGAGGTGGGAGGACTGCTGGAGCCCAGGAGGTGGAGGCTGCAGTGAGCCGAGATCACACCACTGCACTCCAGCCTGGGCAGCATGGCAAGACTCTGTCTCGACCAAGAAAAAAACAAAAAATTAACAGAAGGAAAAACAAAACGGCTTTCTTATCAAAAATACACTTTAAGAACAAATTTATAATATTAAGTTGCTGCAAAAGTAATTGTGCCTTTTACCATTGAAAGCAATGGCAAATACTGCAATTACTTTTGCTCCAACCTAATATTATTTTCTAATGACAAACTTGGAAATAACTGTCATTGCTCTCTAAAAAGAACAGCCTAAAAATAAAGCAGCAGCCCATTTACTTCTATGCCAGTTCTTTTAGCATTTGGTTATTTAAACCGGCAGTCCCTAACCTTTTTGGCACCAGGGACTGGTTTCACGGAAGACACTTTTTCCACTGACAAGTGTGGGGATGGTTTGGAGATGAAACGGTTCCATCTCAGATCATCAGTATTAGATTCTCATAAGCGGGGCATAACCTAGATCCTTCTCATGCGCAGTTCACAACAGGATTCCACTCCTATGAGAATCTAATGCCACCACTGATCTGACAGGAGGCGGAGCTCACACAGCAATGATATGACAGGGGCGGAGCTCACAATAATGATATGACAGGGGGCGGAGCTCACACAGTAATGATATGACAGGGGGCGGAGCTCACACAGTAATGACAGGGGGCGGAGCTCACACAGTAATGATGACAGCGGGCGGAGCTCACACAGTAATGCTCTGGCAGGGGGCGGAGCTCACACAGTAATGCTCTGGCAGGGGGCGGAGCTCACACAGTAATGATGACAGGGGGCGGAGCTCACACAGTAATGATGACAGGGGGCAGAGCTCACAGTAATGCTCTGGCAGGGGGCGGAGCTCACACAGTAATGCTCTGGCAGGGGGCGGAGCTCACACAGTAATGCTGACGGGGGTGGAGCTCACACAGTAATGCTGACAGGGGGTGGAGCTCACACAGTAATACTCTGGCAGGGGGCGGAGCTCACACAGCAATGCTCTGACAGGGGGCAGAGCTCACACAGTAATGCTCTGGCAGGGGGCGGAGCTCACACAGTAATGCCGACGGGGGTGGAGCTCACACAGTAATGCTGACAGGGGGTGGAGCTCACACAGTAATACTCTGGCAGGGGGCGGAGCTCACACAGCAATGCTCTGACGGGGCAGAGCTCACACAGTAATACTCTGGCAGGGGGCGGAGCTCACACAGTAATGCTCTGACAGGGGGCGGAGCTCACACAGTAATCTCTGGCAGGGGGCGGAGCTCACACAGTAATGCTCTGCCAGGGGGCGGAGCTCACACAGTAATGCTCTGCCAGGGGGCGGAGCTCACACAGTAATCTCTGGCAGGGGGCGGAGCTCACACAGTAATGCTCTGACAGGGGGCGGAGCTCACACAGTAATGCTCTGGCAGGGGGCGGAGCTCACACAGTAATGCTCTGGCAGGGGGTGGAGCTCACACAGTAATGCTCTGGCAGGGGGCGGAGCTCACACAGTAATGCTCACTGGCTGGCTGCTCACCTCCTACTGTGTGGCCTGGTTCCTAACAGGCCATGGACTGGAACAATCTGTGGCCTGGGGATTGGGGACCCCTGATTTAAAGAATCGAGGACACACTCACCTAGCAAACCATCTGCTAAGAAAAAAGGAGGAAAAGCACCAACATTAATTTGAACTTAGAAATAAACTACAAGGCCAGACATGGTGGTTCACACCTATAATTCCAGCACTTCGGGAGGCCAAGGAGGAACGATCACTTAAGCCCAGCAGTTTGAGACCAGCCTAGGCAACAAAGTGAGACCCTGTCCCTACAATTACAAAATAAATGAGCTGGGCGTGGTGGTGCACACCTGTAGCCCCAGCTACTTAGAAGGCTGAGTCGGGAAGATCACCTGAGCTGCCCAGGAGTTTGAGGCTGCAGTGAGCTGAGACTGCACCAACCCTGTCTCAAAAAAAAAAAAAAAAAAAAGAAACTGCAACAAAATATCTGGATTTTGATGTAACAGAATACAAAGATAATTACATTTGATTTTTAGGTCAACAAATATGACAAGTCATAACAGGAAAATATTTTAAATGGATTTGGAAATAAAAGAAAGTTTGTTCATTTATATTTTATTTAACAGCTGTGCCCAGTTTTATCTTGTCACAAGAATGAAGCAAGGGACAAAGGTAAGTGCCACGCTCCCCGGCCACTGGGTGCCAATCCCCCTTCAATGTACTCCTTCTTCCCCAGAGTGCAGAAGCGTATAAAGACAGTTATGACATTGACACATGCATGAGCTATTATACATAATTACAAAAGCTGATTCTGTCATCACCACATCTTGTCTCATCAGTAGGAGTGAATGGCTGGGGGGACAGTGGCACAGTCAGCCTCGTTCAAAGTTTTGTCAATTATGGGTCTATATTCCACAGTGACCTTGAAAAGAAGTCAGTGGTAAGTTAAGCACAAAAATGTACAAAAAGCCATCTCTTGTGTTCCTTTTGAAAAATTTTAACTATAAAAGTAGATTTACGGCATGTGAACTTTAAGGTATTTGCTGCAGTATTTTCCAATAACAAATTCAAAAATGATCTACATGCGCAACAGGGGACTGTAAATGACGGCAGATCGGTAGAGTGGAACAGAGCAACGAAAATGACACTGTACCAGATTCTCAGTGCTTTGCTTTACAAAAATGCTCCCATCATGAAAAGTGGGAGAACCCTTGTCTATACCAAGACACTTCATGTTTAAACTATCTACTTCCAGTTTTTCTACTTCAAAGTAAATATTTATATAGGTAGAACATCCCTAATCCAAACATCTGAAATTCTCCCAAATCTGAAACTTTCTGAGCACCAGCATGACATTCAAAAGAAATGTGCTATGGAGTCAGATCTTCCGATTAAGGATGCTCAGACAGTAAGTGTAATGCAAATATTCCAAAGTCTGAACAAGCCTGAAATCCAAAACACTTCTGGTCCCAAGGATTTCAGAGAAGGAATACTCAAGCCGTGTATTAAATATGCACACACAGGAAAAGGTAGGCACATATACAAAGAAATTTAAACCATAATGGGTCATCTCTGGTTAGTGAGCTCTTATTTCAATCTCTTTGTACTTTCTAAAATGAGTATGTATTTCTTCAAAAATCACTGAAACTGGCTGGGCGTGTTGGTTCATGCCTGTTGGGGAGGCCAAGACAGGTGGATCACTTGAGCTCAGGAGCTCAAGACTAGCCTGGGCAACGTGGCAAAACCCCGTCTCTACAAAACATACAAAAATTAGCCAGGCATGGTGGCATGTGCCCGGGAGGCTGAGGTGGGAGGATCACCTGAGCCGAGGGGAGGTTGAGGCTGCAGTGAGATGAGATCGAGCCACCACATTTCAGCCTGGGCAAAAGAGATGAGACTCTATCTCAGAACAACAAAAACAAAACAAAAAACCTGAACCCGGAAACATTAAAAATAGACTTGTGCTAAGCGAGTGAAGTGTGACCTCTCTATACTATCAGGAAATGGCCTTCATGATAAATTCTGAAAATGACCCACTGCCTGAATCACAGACACACTAGATGATAGTGAGAGTCCAAAGGTAACTTCCACAGACACAGCTAAGTGATTATACGACTCTCCCTTACAAGTTATGAAAAGCTTAAGGGTAAAAGCTTTCTATCTTCATGATTTCTGAATCTCAATGCCCAGTGGAAATGCCACACAGGTGAACTGTGCTTGTGTGGAACAAGCTGCAACCCCCTACCACACCCTCGGCTGGCTGTTCCCAAGACGCTGTGCTTGTGTGGAACAAGCTGCAACCCCCCTACCACACCCTCGGCTGGCTGTTCCCAGGACGCTGCTTACCCCAACCCTGCCTCCATTTCTGCCCTTCTCTGCTTGCTCAGTGCCCAGGGGATGCTAAGGGCTGCACCACATCCCCTCTGCTCCCCTGCAGATGCTTCCAGTTGGCCCAGCCCATGGGAAGAGAGGGGAGGGGTCTCTTCTGGGCTCCCTTGGCTCGGGACTGGTTTCTGGTAGTGGCTCTGTCCCCACCACACAGATGCTGACTTTCTCGCTAGGTCCACAATCATCATCTCCTCCCCTGCCACCAGGCCTTGGACACTTGCTCCTGCCCAGTGACTTCCATCTGGCCCACACCACAGAGCAACCCTTCCTTAAGGCTCCTCTGAACCACCTGCAGGCACTGGATTCTGTTTCCAGCCCGAAGCCCGACTGCTGTCAGAGTGCCTTTTTCAGCGGTGCCTCAAATCTGTCGGGAGTTGATTTAAATCTGGCCTGCTCCTCCGCGTTCACCATCAGCAAGGCCAGCCCGCAGACCTGGGCGGGGCCGTGTGGGTGCTGGGCTGTGGTGAGAACGAGCTCCACACTGACCTTCCCAGTGCCGACGTCCACATAGGACAGGGTGTGCTTCCTCCAGTGCACCTCAAAGGGCTTCTTCTGTTGCCCCTGGATGGGCTTGGAGTGATCATACTCATCAATCTGCACCTGAGGCCAGAAACACCATCACATTTCTCATTACTCTAACAGAGCAATACAGAAAAAACACAGCAAACATTAAAATGATCTAAGAGACAGATGCCCTAGAACCCATTCCATTTCCACTTCAGCCCAGGAGGTTGGCACCATCAACACGTTCAGAACCCACAGAGGCCACATGGCTGGCCAGCGATGTGCAGCCAGCAGTGAGTCCAGAGTAATCCATGTCCGCATGTTCCCTTAGACATCCTTTATGTACCTAAGAGTTTATCAAATACTTTGTCTTTTTGCTCCAAGCGCTGGGAGACTACCTCCATCTTTTCTTTCAGCCTGTTTTTATTAAAAACACTTTTTTTCTCTTTTGAGACAGGGTCTCGCTATGTCACCTGGGCTGGAGCGCAATGGTGTGATCACAGCTCGCCAGAGCCTTGACTTCCCGGGCTCAATCAATCATCCTGCCTCAGCCTCCTGAGCAGCTGGTACCTCAGGTGTGTACCACCACGCCTGGCTAATTTTTTAATTTTTGTAGAGACAGGTTTCGCCATGTTGCCCAGGCTGGTCTAGAACTCCGGGGCTCAAGTGATCTGCCTGCCTCAGCCTCCCAAATGCTGGGATTACAGGTGGGAGCCACTGCACCTGGCTTCTATTCTAATTAAAACTCGTTGTCACCAACTAAATTTATGCTCCTGGCCAGGCACAGTGGCTCATGCCTGTAATCCTAGCACTTTGGAAGGCCAAGGTGGGTGGTTCACTTGAGGTCGGGAGTTCGAGACTAGCCTGGCCAACATGGTGAAACCCCGTCTTTACTGAAAATACAAAATTAGCCGGGCACGGTGGCATGCGCCTGTAACCCCAGCTGCTTGGGAGGCTGAGGCAGGAGAATCACTTGAACCTGGGAGGCAGAGGTTGCAGTGAGCTGAGATCGCGCCGCTGCACTCCAGCCTGGGGGACAATGAGACTCCATCTCAAAAAATTAAAAATAATAAATTTATTATTATTCTGTATTCTGGCAAACACGGATTCATATACTTTGCAGGAAAGACTCTTAATATGTATGAGGAGACGAGCAAATTCTGAGCAGTGATCACAGCCATCAGCATATTCTAGTGGAGGGTAAATCAGTAAAATTTCATGGTGAATAAAAATGATTTTCCCATTCACTGTGTTCAGCTGACTGGAAAGGCTGCCACCAGCCGCCCACACATGGCCCTGAACCAGCCTGTGCGCCTGCCTTGTGGAGCCTTTGTCCTTTTGCCGATGTGGTTTATCCTGAACTTGCATTTGCACCCCAAGCTTCCCTTTCCGTCGTTTTTTGCTATCATATGTGAAAAACTCTTACCAGGCAGAATCCAACACGTGTGCTCTGCACAAAAATCAGTTCATCTGAAGAACAAGTGACCACAGGGCAGTCTCCGTAATCAAACCACAGGACAGGCTCTATAATACCTTTTCCAAACCACAGGACAGGTTGGAAACAGTGGCTTACTCGTTATTTAGTAAACTGGCATTTCCTCCACAAGGCAGGTCTGAAACGGTGACTTACTTGTTATTTAATAAACTGGCATTTCCTCCACAGGGCAGGCTTGAAACGGTGGCTTACTCGTTATTTAATAAACTGGCATTTCCTCCACAGGGCAGGCTTGAAACGGTGGCTTACTCGTTATTTAATAAACTGGCATTTCCTCCACAGGGCAGGCTTGAAACGGTGGCTTACTCGTTATTTAATAAACTGGCATTTCCTCCATAGGGCAGGCTTGAAACGGTGGCTTACTCGTTATTTAATAAACTGGCATTTATTTCCTGGTCATGCCACGCTGGCTGCACTTCTAACCTTGGCCTTCTAACAGCAAAGCACATTGGCTTGGAGATGCCACTGCTGGCATCAGTGGATGCCGACCCAAAGCAAGGAACAGGTCACAGTGATCCAGAAAATGGCGAGAACCCAGGGATCAAAGTTACCAGAGGGAAAAAGGCATTTTTTGGATATACTTTTGGGGAAACGACATAAAATGCAGAGAAAATGCAGGGGTGGGGCTGAGTCCCACCAGGCGGGAGGAAAAGGCAGGTGCAGGTGGGCGTGGCGAGAAGGCGCACCTTGTAGTCTTCCCCGGCGTGCGCGCCCCGTGACTCCTTCCCCGCCTCTGCTCCATTGACGGTCTGCAGCGCACATAGCATCAGGTTCTGCAGCTCCAGGGTCTCCACCAGGTCCGTGTTCCAGACCATTCCTGGGGACACAAAAAGTTCCATCAGGGGCAGGTGGGACCCAGTCACACGGGCCCTCCGAGCTGTCAGCCTGGGCCTGCTAGTCCATGGAGTCACTGGTTGTGGCTTTACAGCTGGGGGCCAGCACCCATCCAGACAGCAAGCATGGAACTAAGTCAGCACTGACGGGACAGACACCAGCCCACCCTGCAGAAGGCAGGGCCCAACAGTGTGCACAGAGCCCACTGTCTGCTCACCCCGGTCAAACGTCTTCAGATGCTTCAGGTCTCCATAGAGCTTGCTGATTTTCCCACAACCTTCTTGCAACAAGCTTCCCACACGGAACACGGCAGCATGATTTTGCGTTGACTGTGGCACAAAATATTATTTGTAAACTTTTAATTCATAGAAGCAGCCATACCAAGAACTGCTTAACTTTTAGACCTGTTGTTTTGCATTTCATTTTATTTATGTAAATTAAACAGAAAAATTAGGAAATTTAGACTATGAGTTTATTACTCTGAACTTAAAAATGAAGTCTTGACTAAAGCTTCTGAATAAATGTTTCTATTATATACATATCTTAGACCCACACACATCCTTTCCAGCGGGATACAGCCAGGGTCCAGGACGCCAAGCAGACTGCCTGTGAGGCACCACGTTCCATACGGCTCCACGGCCAACCAGGCAGCACTGCCTCCCCACACCCCTGGCGGGACTCCTGATGTGGGGTCTGGTGGTGAACGTGACACGAGCCAGCAGCCCTGTGGTGATACACACAAGGAGGAACTGAGCAGAGCCCTGCTGATGGTGGGGTTGGAACCGAAGGTCTTCAAGGAGAGGGAGGGGCGTGGGTGGCTGGGGCCCTTGGCCCATCTGGCTACTGTCTTCTGCCTATTTTGTAGAAGCTCCTTGTACACTGAGTTCCTTCATAGTTTTACTATCACGAGAAACGTGCTAGGAGTGGACCTGAAGTTTACTTAGGTATGCTGGGAACTGGGCATCAGCTTTTGCTTCCTGTGGGACACACAGGCACCACCTCCGTGATCCCTCCTCCTCCTTGCTTCTCCCTCTAACTGTGCTTTGCTCCACTGACCCTAATTGTCTCTTCCTCTACCAATGCACCTTCGTGGTTCAATTTGGACATTTCATCTGATTTTCCTTAGACTCATACATAATCGTAACACTGTAATGCACATCAACCTAATGGTTTTTCAGGAAGAACAAATGAAAAAAATTGCATCTCAGAATCTAGTATTACATTCTTTCATGTCCTTTAGCAGCGACGTTTTCATATCATCTTTTCGTATTTCTGGTTACATTATTTCAAGGCATTTTAAATTTTTTGTTTGAAATGCGAATGAGATATTTACTGATGTCTGAGCAGATTACTGCTGGCACATTGCAAAGCTACTGATTTTTACATACAAATCTCTTATACACATACCTTACTACATTCTTGTTTTGTTTCTGTTAGTTTTTCCGTTTATTCTCTGGAAATTTTTTGGAAATTATATCTGTAAATAATGGCAACTGTATCTATTCCTTTTCAATATTTACTGCCAAGACCAGCTGGGTCATGGAAACCCTAACCCAGTGGCACTAGAGGAAGTAAAGACACACACACAGAAATATAGAGTGTGGAGTGGGAAATCAGGGGTCTCACAGCCTTCAGAGCCAAAAGCCTCAAACAGAGATTTACCCACGTATTTATTGACAGCAAGCCAGTGATAAGACTTACTGAAAGTATTCCTTACAGGAAATAAAGGGATGGGTCTGGCTAGTTATCTGCAGCAGGAGCATGTCCTTAAGGCACAGAGCGCTCATGCTATTGTTTGTGGTTTAAGAAGGTCTTAAGAGGTTTTCCACTCTGGGTGGGCCAGGTGTTCCTTGCCCTCATTACGGTAAACCCATAACCTTCCTGCGTGGTCGTCCTGGCCATCACGAGCACGTCACATGCTGCAGAGATTTTGTTTATGGCCAGTTTTGGGGCCAGTTTATGGCCACATTTGGGGGCCTGTTTCTATCAATTTACCTCATTTCTTTTTTTGATTGTTACTATTAATAGCCAGAGTCAGCAGAAAAATCCCTTCCCCCAACGAAATGCATTTCCGCAAGCATAGGAAGCTCTGTTTGTTCAGTGCTGACTCCGGCACCTCACGGAGCCTGGGATACAGCAGGCACCAAGACACACCTTGTTTGGTGGGAACACTTCTAGTATTCTCACTTCAAACTATCTCAGATTTGCCATTTCTATATCCTAAGGCATGTTCCCATTCTCTAACGCAAGGGTTCCTTCTTTCCCAGCTGGCCTCCAACCCTACAAAAGCACTGCAGGGCATCACTCAGCCTTCTGTGCCTTAGTCACGCTGTTCTTCTCACCGTTCCACAAAACCTCCCTCAAGCCCAGCCTCACCTGAAGACCGAAGGGCACGGGCCTCTGAAAATTGTCAGCAGGGAACCTGTTCTCTTGTGTCTAACACCAAATGCCTTTCAGAATAGGACTAAAGCAGTGGACTTCTTTCTAGAAAATACGCAGAAATTCTTGCAAATAGCAGACAAGAGATCTCATTCATGGACAAGAATCCTTGTTATTAGAGGAATTGAGTTTCTTAGACTGACTATATATCAGGTTCTCCACGGCCCCATGGCTAATGGCTGCCATACTGGACGGCAAACACTCAACATTTCCATCATCACAGACGGTCCTACTGGACCGACTCCCAGCAGCACAGGCCGCACAGATCACTGTCCACCTGCCGCCCACTCTCCCTCTCTGCTGAGTATATTTAGGGGCAGCAACAGGTCTAGCTTAAAGACGTTTCCGAGCTGCTGGAAGCCAGGCATGATGACATGATCAATATCTGGGCCTGAGATGTAAGCACCAGTGTTGTGTTGAACTCCAGGAAACCTCTAAGAGAAAGCTGCCCTGCTGGGGACGGAGCTTCTCCGGCAGTCCTGCGGCTCCCTCTCCTCCACACTGTGACTCATCCATGACAGCCAGCGACGGTCAGGGCACGGAGGTCATGCCCAAGCACACACGAGTGAACCACAGAAGGCTGTCCTGGATGCTAAGCAGTCACTAATTCTGCCCTGGCCTGCTGACCTTCTATGTGGAGAAGAAGTGCACTTCTGGTCTCTTTCATATTCTTGATACAGTGAGGAGTATGTCCTACTGCTGTTTACCTCCACATACTGGTGCAGCCTCGTATGTTTATTGCAGCACTAGTCACAATAGCAAAGTCATGGAATCAACCTAAGTGCCCATCAACGGACGACCGGATAAAGAAAATGTGGTACATATATACCATGAAATACTACTTGGCCATAAAAAAAGAATGCAATCATGTCTTCTGCAGCCAGACGGATGGAATGGGAGGTCACTATCCTAAGTGAGTCAGAAGGTCAAGTGTCACACATTCTCCCTTGGAAGTGGGAGCTGAACGGTGAGTACACATGGACACACGGAGTGGACTAACAGACTGTGGGCTCCAAAAAGCGGGAGGGGTGGGGATGAGCAATTACCTGCTGAGTACAACACACACGACTTGGGTGACAGGTACATGAAAAGCCCAGACTCCACCACCTCCCAGTACATCCACACAAAGCTGCACCTGCATCCCCCTAGATCTGTTTTTAAAAAAACAAAACCAGTGCAGGGCCAGGTATGCAGCCAGCCTGCTCACTCCAGAGCGAGTCCAGGCTCTTACCTTCTGCATGCTGAGTCGCAGTTCCGATGTTCTTATGCTTCTTCCATCAGCAAATCTCAATTTGTCAAGATTCGTGACAGATTCTTCCCCAGCATTTGGTTTAATTGGAGGGACTTTATCTCCTAAAACAACAACAAAAAGAGCTAGAATTTAACTTTTGAAAACCGTTTTAAAAAAACAAATGGATTTAGTACTACACACAAAAATGTAGCATAGCCGCTCAAGGAGCCTGGAAACGGTGTAAGTCTCCTGAGCTAACACACTGCCAACCCACCCTACATCTGAGGCCATCTGTTGAGTTGGGGCCAATTTTAAAGAACAGACATAAAAGGCAAAACTGTTGGCACACAGTAGATATCCATTAAGTGATCTTAGAGTGAATAAACTAGAAATCATCTCTAAAATTAAAAAATTAAAATGTAGGCCAGGTGCAGTGGCTCACGCCTGTAATCCCAGCACTTTAGGAGGCTGAGGTAGGTGAAGCACTTGAGGTCAGGAGTTCAAGAGCAGCCTGGCCAACGTGGCAAAACCTCATTTCTACTAAAAACACAAAAATTATCTGGCATGAGAACTGCTTTAACCCGAAAGGTGGAGGTTGCAGTGAGCCGAGATCGCGCCACTGCACTCCAGCCTGGGCAACAGAGCGAGACCCTGTCTTACAAAAAAAAAAAATTAAATGTATACAGATTTATATACATTAAGTGTATATAAATGTCACTCCACTAACGGGAAAAAATGACACCTTCCAGATGGTGGTCCCAAGGGGCCGGCCGCCCCACTGTCCTTCACATTAGGGGGAGGAAGGTGGCTGCTGTGTGCTTGCAAGTCACCTGCTGATTTGGACTGTTGTGTGCTCTCACCTATACTTCAAGATTTGCAATTTTTTTTTTTTTTTTTTGAGATGGAATTTTGCTCTGTAGCCCAGGCTGGAGTGCAGTGGCACCATCTCGGCTCACTGCAACCTCCACCTCCTGGTTCAAGCAATCCTCCTGCCTCAGACTCTGGAGTAGATGGGACTACAGGAGTTTGCAACCATACCTGGCTAATTTTTGTATTTTCAGTAGAGATGGGGTTTCACCATGTTGGCCAGGCTGGTCTCGAACTCCTGACCTCAGGTGAGCCACCTGCCTCAGCCTCCCAAAGTGCTGGGATCACATGTGTGAGCTGCTGCGCACGGCCAAGATTTGCAACTCTTGTGTTTCCAAGATGTCTTGAAAAAAGTTTTAAAGGTTTTTTTTTTTTATAAAATTATATGTATTTTTTCTTCAATAGGTAACACATGCAGGAGATAGGAGGTATGAAATGCAGGAGTCAAACAGGCCCTGTCCCGCCTACCGCCTCTCCTCGGGACCAGGCTGTGGGTCTCTTGACGGTCTGCTCAAATGCTTCTAGGCTTGCTGGTGTCTCTTTTCCTTTTGTTTATAACGCTTTAAAAATTGATCATCCATTAAAATTGACTTTTTTCTTTCGGTGGACAGTTCTACAGTTTCTTTTTTCTTTTTTTTTTTTGAGACAGTGTCTCCTCCCTCTGTTGCCCAGGCTGGAGTGCAGTGGTGTGATCTCGGCTCACAGCAACCTCCGCCTTCTAGGCTCCAACAATCCTCCCACCTCAGCCTCCCAAGTAGCTGGGACTACCCAAGTGTGAGCCACCATGCCCAGCTAATTTTTGTATTTCTGGTAGAGACGGGGTTTCACCACCTTGCCCAAGCTGGTCTCGAACTCCTGAGCTCAAGCAATCGGCCTGCCTTGGCCTCCCAAAGTGGTGGGATTATAGGTGTGAGCCACTGCACCCGGCCTCAGTTCTACCGATTTTAACACATGGATAGATGCATGTAACCACTTTGGGAGGCTGAGACAGGAGGATCACTTGAGGTCAGGAGTTCAAGACCACCCTGGGCAACACAGGGAGACCCTGTCCCTAGAATACATTTTTAAAAATTAGCCAGATGTGGTGGCGTGCACCTGATCGTACCACTGCACTCAAGCCTGGGTGACAGAGGGAGACTATGTCTAAAAATACACATATATATATTTTTGGGGGGGTCGGGGGTTGGGGGAGAAGTAGGGATGCTACAAGCATTTTTTCTTTCCTTTTCATTTTTAAAAATTAAAGCGTAAAGATACAGTAAAATAAACTCATCATTTTTAATGTAGGTTTTTCAAACTTTGACACACACAGAGCTGTGTCTGTAAGCCTCAGCACAATCAGGAAACAGCCTCTGGCAACCACCAATCCCTTTTCTTCCCTAGATGTGCCTTGTCCAGAATGTCCTATCAACAGGACCACAGGCGTGCAGCCTTTTGAGTCCGACTCCACAGCATTCTGCGTGAGATGCTGCATGTGTGAGCGGTTTCTCAGATGTCAAGTATAGGGTATTCTCACAAAATGTTCTTTTCTGCATTTTCAAAGAAAGAGAAGCTCAAAATTTCTACACTGCTCTGAGAGAAGTGGTATCAGACCTCACTGCGACAAAGTGCAGGGCTATGGAGTGAGACAAGCACAACCTGTGGCGTCAGGAGCGAGGCACCTGAACTCCGCCTTCGCCGATGATCAGCAACGGCTGGGGATGAGACGCCGGCTCTGCATGTGCTGGCCTCCTGAGCTGTCGTCAGATCCACAGAGACACAGTGTCTGAAGTAGCTACCCTTTTAATACTGCCTGTACCTTTCTAACTACAGATAGAAAAGGGTCATGTTTATAAGGTACGGCGGTGCTAGTTTTTATTTCACTTGAGTCCATACAAAAAGCAAAAAGCGCCTGTTCTATAAAAACAGCAGAAATGATGCTAAACAGTTAACACCAGAGAAAGCTAACGGGAAGAACGTGGGCCTGGGGTCCCACCATCCTTGCCACGCAAACATCCACCAGTGCCTCATCCACCTCACACTGTTCTGAGCACACGAGGCTGCATGACCACCGTGAGGATCTCTGGAGGTGGGAACGATGCTAACTGTCCTGTTCTTCGTGCACATAAGACTCACACTCCCACACACGGTATTCCTTTTCCTGCACATTATTTGACGCTATCCTGAAAAGAAAACCAGCAAGTGAAATCGAATCTGTCCGTAGAGGGTGGGAATCCTGTTCACTCTAAGTCAGCCCTTCTCCTCTAATAGAGGTTAGTTGTACTTTTAGAATGGCCTAAATTATTTTTCTAAGTACCAAGAAGTTACATATTCATTCATGCCAACTATTTTAAATATTTCATTGCAAATAAGTGATTTTTATCAGGCAAGTAATACGTAATGAACTTCCCCTAAAAATAACAGCTTCCTAATAGTGCTTTTTCTAAACAGAAAATAATGACTGCAAAATAATTTAAAAAAAAAAAATGTAACCCCAAAAATGTCACCTTAACTGTTAAGATCCCCAACCAGCCTCTATCTAGTCTCAACATTACCACCATATAATCTCTGGATTTCTCAGTTTAATCACTTCTAGGGGAAAAAACCCAGACTACCTCTATATGCTCACTACGCAAATTTCCAGTAAGAAATCAAGGCTTTGTAACCTGGCTGGGTGCAGTGGCTCATGCCTGTAATCCCAATACTTTGGAAAGCTGAGGCAGAAGACTGTTTGAGTCTAGGAGTTCAAGACCAGCCTGGGCAATATTGTGAGACCCTGTCTCTACCAAAAAAAATTTTTTTAAATTAGCCAGGTGTGGTGGTGCACATCTGTAGTCCCAGCTACTTGGGACTCTGAAGGTTGAGGTGTTGAGGACTGCTTGAGCTCGGGAGGTTGAGGCTGCTATGACTGTGCCACTGCACTCCAGCCTGGGCTGACCCTGTCTCAAAAAAAAAGAAAAAAGACTAACCTCCTGCGCCTTCTCAAATAGTCTGGGTCCTGAAGAAAACACTTACCAGGCCTGCACGACTCTGCGATGCTCAGGGCACATGCCTGACCAGACAACCAGGTCCAACAGCGAGTTTGCCCCGAGGCGGTTGACACCATGTGCAGAGGCACAGGCGGCCTCCCCACAGGCGTACAGGCTGGGCACAATCTGATCCTGGCCATTCCCGTGCCTCAGGACCTGTGGAAAGGAAGATTTCAGGTGAAATGTCAAGATGCCCATTCCTCCACAAGCCCACCTCCCTCAACAGGGTGTCTGTGCTGCAGGTCAGAGAAAGAGAGGGAAGTAGGTCGGGCATGCAGTGGCTCACGCTTGTAATCCCAGCACTTTGGGAGGCTGAGGCGGGTGGATCACCTGAGTTCAGGGGTTCGAGACCTGTCTGGCTAACATGGTGAAACCCCGTCTCAACTAAAAATATAAAAATTAGCCAGGCATGATGGCAGGTGCCTGTAATCCCAGCTACTCGGGAGGCTGAGGCAGAAGAATCGCTTGAACCTGGGAGGCGGAGGTTGCAGTGAGCCGAGATCGCGCCATTGCACTCCAGCCTAAGCGACAGAGCGAGTCTCCATCTCCAAGAAACAAAGAGAGGGAAGTAAAGACCATATCTAAGAAGGAAGTAAGGACCATAGCTACTCTTCTTCAGAAGGAAACTTCCGAATGTATACCCCAGTTTCCCCTCTGCCCCTGAGCACCTGCTGTTACAAGCAGGTCAGAGGGCCTCCAATGTCAGCATCTGCGACTGTCCCCCGTGTCCCATGTTCCCGAGGCCCTCACCACCTGTGCTCCAGCTCAGACCCAGGAGCACGGCAGGTGGAGGAACATCAGCAGGGGAGACTGATGTTCCAGACTCTTCTACCCCCTGTTCACCTCTTCATCTATGCGGGGAAAGTAACAGCTTCCACCCACCTCGCCCAACAAGGAGGCTAAGTGACTGACAAGCTCTGTGTGAACCGCAAACCACTCACAGGTATGAATTATAAAGATCCTTCGATGTACAAGATCATTAGAAATAGGAATTATAAAGATCCCTTGATGTATAAGCTCATTAGAAATAACACAAGATCATATAGGAAAGTAATTATAAAATGGGAAAAGCTGCAAATGATGTATCTATGACAGTTTACTAAGGAGGAATAAATTATTAAGCCTCCTTCCATCCTCCAGTGATAGAAATTTCAAGTGCAATTTAGCAAACAATACAGTACTTTCTGGAAGGAAACATCTGTCTCTTCCTCTAAGATCTAAAGAGACAACTGCGAGATGGGCCCCATTGTCCCAGCCTTCTTTCCAGCTGTGGGAGAGAAGCCAGCACCATCACCTGCCCCTCGTAGCTGGTGGGAATGCCGTCCATGTTATAATGCACGGTGGGGAGGACAGGGATCGGCTCCTTCGTGACGTCCACACCAGCGAAGATCATGGCTGTCTCTGAAATGCCGGGCAAGGGCATGGCCAGCTGCTCTGGAGGTAGGTGGTGCAGCTGCAGGTAGACGTGATCTTTCTCAGGGCCACAGCCTCTGGTAAGACAGAACACCATCACATAAGGCAGAGAATGGCAACGGCAGCAGACCTGAGAATACGTCATCTTGGAAGCGTGTGAGTTTCAACATGTTTTGATACTGAGGAAAATTTCCCCTCATGTACGGCCACCCTCTCATCAAATCTTTTCTAAGCATCTACTGTATGCCAGGGACAATCCCAGGTGCTGGGACACAGCTGAGAACCAGAACAAAAACTCTGCCCTTACTGAACTCACACTCGTCTCAGGGATCACAGCCTGCAGCGGCTGTCCTTGGTAAAAGCATTAGGCCTCTATGCCAAATAGTCGTCCCTGCGTATCCGTGGCAGGTTGGGTCCAGGACCCCCACGGACACCAAAATCCGTGGATGCTCAAGTCCCTAATATAAAATGGCAGAGTATTTGCATATAACCTATGCACATCCTCCTCCATATTTTAAATCATCCTCATTTCAAGTTTTACATTTAAGTTGTACAGCAACTCCAGGATTACTCATAGTACCTAATACAATGTAAATGCTAGGTAAATAGCTGCTACACTGTGTTGCTTAGCGAACAATGACAAGGAAAAAAAAAAGTCTGCGTGTTTGTAAGGATGCAATTTTATTTTCAGTACATAGTTGGTTGAAACCACACATGTGGAACCGATGGATACGGAGGGCCACCATATTACAAGAAACCATCCGACTTCTTTTTTTTTTAATATAAAAATGTAAAACCTCTAAAGGCCACACCAGATACCAGCAGATATTTAGCAAGTGTTATCACATTAAAGAACAGGGTCAGGCAATGAAAGAGCTGCAAACTGTTCTTCTGAAAGGCAAATGACCCACACACTTTGAAAGCTGCCGAAAAACATCTGTGGGTATCAGACACCACACCCAAGGCTCACACGCCGACTTCAGGTTGGGTGCGTGTCTCTCTCTCCCATACTCCGTCACATACTCACACACACTAAGAGAAACTCTGTTCCACAGATTTGAGAAAGAAACTGGCTAAAATTTTCAAAATGTAGGTCTTTAGGAAAATATCGCAGACTAACAGACGCCTGCCGGCAGCTGAG
Organism: Homo sapiens; assembly: GCF_000001405.40. NCBI lineage: Eukaryota > Metazoa > Chordata > Mammalia > Primates > Hominidae > Homo > Homo sapiens. The sequence continues at coordinate 41,916 of NT_187689.1, read as the reverse complement.
AGAGGTGGCTGTGCACATGTGCCTGCACACGAAGGTGAGGGCGAGCGGTGCTGAAACTCACAGAAGCAACCCCGGCCCGTGTGCCCGCTCAGACAGTGCTGGTGGTAAACCACACGCACCTTCCTTCGCGGATCTCCAGAGTCATCCACCGAGACACCACATCTCTAGACGCCAGGTCCTTCGCGATGGGGGCGTATCGCTCCATAAACCTTTCGCCTTGACTGTTAATGAGAATGCCTCCCTCTCCACGACATCCTTCCGTAATGAGACAACCAGCACCATATGTGCCTGCAAAAAACCACACATTTATAACCTAACAATTGCTAGGTCTCTATTTCAAATGCATTACTTTTTTTTACAAGATATTTTTTGGGGGAGAGACAAAAAAGATATGCAGAAGGCATTATATGCAAAACTGAACAGAAAGAACAGTTAAGATACAGTAGAAAGTCTGGATAACAAAAAGCACTGACAAGGCTGACAGCTGCAGCAGAGGCTGGGGCAGAGTGGCGTCCCCAGAGAGGAGAAAGGCCGGCCCACAGACCTCTGGCCAATACTCTGATTACAGCCCGGTGTACGTTGGATGCCTCAAATTTTGTTTTAATTTTTGAACATTCTTTTGCACTATGATACTGTGGTGACTAGTTAAGAATACTAGCTTGGAGAATTCATATCTAAGTTACCCAAACAGTGGCAAGAACAGTAATAATGATTATTTTAGTTCATCTTTACACTGCACTTGCTATGGGCAGTTCTAGCTGCTTTCCACATATTAAACTCATTTAAGTCTTACAACAACTCTGGGTAGTATGACCCCCTTTCTCAGTGACAAGCAAATTAACGCTTGGTAACATCCAGTCATGCAGCTGAGGACAGAGCTCAAACCCAAACCTGGGCAGTCCGGCGGTCTGTGCCCCAAACAGCGGCTCTGTGACTCCTCAGTGCGATGAGAAACAGGGCGTGCCAAGCTCTCGAATTTTAACAAAGGAGATCAAAAACCCTAAACTAAATGTATTTCAAAAGCTACAATTTTTATTAGTATACAAAAAGGGCAATCTTGCTTTCAAGACAAGAATGTGATTCTTGCATCTCACCTGCCTTTTGATTTTCTAAGTTTCCATGCTCTTTTTTCTGTGGTTACTTCTCACATATTGAAGACAAAGCATGAGAAGTGGAGCTCTAAGCAAATTACAGAGGGAATTCAGGGGCTCACTGACATTTTGCTGATTAAAAACAGTAATAAAAAATACAACAGGCCGGGTGCAGTGGCTCATGGCTATAATGCCAGCACCCTGAGGGGCCGAGGCAGGAGGATCGCCTAAGCCCTGGCGTTTGAGACCAGCCTGGGCTTAAAATGGTGACACCCTGTCTCTACCAAAAACAAAAAAACCCTCAAAAATTAGCTGGGCATGGTAACACATGCCTGTAGTCCCAGCTATTTGGGAGGCTGAGGTGCAAGGATCGTTTGAGCCTGGGAGACAAAGGCTGCAGTGAGTCAAGATTGCTCCACTGCACTCCAGCCTGGGCAACAGAGCAAGACCCCATCTCTAAACAAATTAAAAAAAAAACCTACAACAAATCCATTTCTTATTTTCATCCCTTCCAGGGATCAGAAAGCTGACACTGACAGAGAAAGAGAAGACACAGGTCTGGTTCTTTGGCACCACTTCAGGGGTCTCCATCGTCCACAGGTCAGAAAAGCAACCCAGAAAAGTCCAGGACGAGTCACCTCAAACAAGAGGCAGACGTGTGTGTGTCTGTCTCTGACTCATTTTGAAGAACCTCCTCCAAACTCAAGACTTCAACTGTCATTTCTGAGTTAATGTCTCCAAATTGCACATTCGTAACCTCAACCGTCAGACGTCCCCAAGACGAGCTCATCTTCCCCACGACAAGCTCCCTCAGTGGTCACGTGGGCTGAGCCCAGCGCCCAACGTCACATGGGGTTCTCTCATGGCTGTGTCTTAACTTTACATCCCATTGTCACGGAAGCTCTGTGTTGTCCTACAAAGCTGAAATCTGCCTGTGCTGCTTCTTGGTTCCACGGCATTCACCCAGCTCTCAGAATGCTCACTCAGTAAACCCCGATGGAGACCCTACCATGTGCTGGGCGTGGAGCACCCCAGTTAATGAGAAGACCTGCCTGCCCGAGTTGCTGACAACCTCACTGCAAAGAGGGACACTGAACAATTCCTGCTTTACTTTTTTTTTTTTTTTTTTTGAGACGAAGTCTTACTCTGTTGCCCAGGCTGGAGCGCAGTGGTGCGATCTCGGCTCACTGCAACCTCTGCCTCCCAGGTTCAAGCATTCCTCCCGCCTCAGCCTCCCAAGTAGCTGGGATCACAGGTGCATGCCACCATGCCCAGCTGATTTTTTTATGTTTAGTAGAGATGAGGTTTCACCATGTTGTGCAGGCTGGTCTTGAACTCCTGACCTCAGGTGATCCACCTGCCTTGGCCTCCCAAAGTGCTGGGATTACAGGTGTGAGCCACCATGCCCGGCCTCAATCCCTGCTTTACTGCTGGCATAAGTATCACCAAGGCAGGGTTTAGGGCTCTTGAGAAATGCATAAGATGGTGGCCCAAACTGCCTTAGGGGAAGGGGAGTGTGGGAAAAGTCTCCTTAAGGAAATGACATTGAAGTTAGGACCTGAGAGCTATGGAAGCTGATCTTCAAAACCATGTTATTACATAAAACTATGGAAGAGCAATGAGTAGGCACCACACGCTTACAAGACACACGAGCCGAACGCCTTCCGGGCAAGGCGTCCTGCCCTACCTGTGGGGTGGAACTGAACAAACTCGAGGTCCTGGCAAGGAAGGCCTGCCCTGGTGATCATGGCCGTGCCGTCGCTGGTGCTGGTGTGGGCAGACGTGCAGCTCAAGTAGGTGCGCCCGTAGCCTATGGAAACAACAGAGAGCAGTGACTGCACACAGTGGCCCACGTCCGGACCTCCTGTCTAATGAGATCACAGAACGGACAGGGCAGCCCCCGGGCACCATCTTCTCAGTGCTGTGTGCACACAACCCCCTACTCACGCACACCCCACACACATCACTGGGGGCCACGCCAGTGGTGCTGCTACCCTGCGCAGGTAGGATAGAAGCCTGGGATCAGAGAAGAGACTTCCATTTATATTTTATTTATTTATTTATTTATTTTGAGATAGGGTCTAACTCTTGTCGCCCAGGCTGGAGTACGGTGGCACAATCTCGGCTCACGGCAACCTCTGGCTCCCAAGTTCAAGTGATTCTTCTGCCTCAGCCTCCCAAGTACCTGGGAATACAGGTGTGCACCACCACATCCAATTGATTTTTGTATTTTTAGTAGAGACTGGGTTTCGCCACGTTGGCCACGCTGGTCTTGAACTCCTGACCTCAGGTGATCCACCCACTTCGGCCTCCCAAAGTGCTGGGATTACAGGCATGAGCCACTATGCGTCTGGCCCTATTTGTATTTTAGATTTGTGCTGTTCAAAAGGTTTCCCCAGTAAGCATATACTACTTTTATAATGAAAATTTTAAAATTTTTATGGATTTTGTTTTTTTCCCCCAGATTTACTGAGGTATGATTGATGAATTAAACAAAAAACAATACTGTATATATTTAAGGTGTACAGCGTGATGATTTATTTTGTGAACTGATGACACAATCAACTTAATACACATCTATCACCTCATACAATTATCCTTTTTTTTGGAGATACAGACACCTAAGGTCTACTCTCTTCGCAAATTTCAAGTTATATTAATGATAGCCACCGTACTGTATGATTTTAACTGTAGCCACCATGCTGTATAATGTTAACTCTGGCCACCATGCTCTATAACATTAACTCTAGCCACCATGCTGTTTATCAGACCTTCAGAACTTCACCTTGTGACGGGAAGTTACACCTTTAATCAGCATCGCCACAGTCTGCATTCCCCCAGCCCCTGGCAACCACTGTCCTATTCTGTTTCTGTGAGTTGTGACAGTTTTAGATCCACATATGAGTGACATGCAGTATCTGTCTTTCTGTGCCTGGGTCGTTTCACTTAACATAATGACTTTGGGTTCATCCACGTTGTCACACATGACAGGATTTCCTTCGTTTTCATAGCTGAATAATATTCAGTTGTGTACACACACCACATTGTCATTAAACACCAAAAATTTTTAGGTTGTTTCCATATCTCGGGTATTGTGAATAACGCTGCAATGAACATGGGGGTCCAGGTGTCTCTTTGAGCTTCTGATTTCATGCCCTTTGGATATACACCCAGAAATGAGGTTGCTGGAGCACATGGTAGTCCTGTGACTTTTGAGGAACCTCCAGAGTTTTCCACAATAGTTGTACTAATTTACATTCCCACCAACAGCACACAGGGTTCCCTTTTCTCCACATCCTCATCAACACTCACTATCTTTTGTCCTCTTGGTAACAGCCATTCTAACTGGAGCGAGATGAGATGATACTCATTGGGGTTTTAATTTGCATTTCTCTGGTGCTTGGTGATGTTGAGCATTTTTTCATACATCAACTGGCCATTTGTATGTCTTCTCTGGAAAAATATCTATTCAAGTCCTTTGCCCATTTTTAGTAGGGTTGTTTTTTAGTAGGGTTTAGTAGGTTGGTTTTAGTAGGGCTTTTTTTTATTTTTTATTTTTTTTTGCTATTTTAGATACTAAGATATCATTAGATATATGGTTTGGAAAATATTTTTTCCCACCCTGTAGTTTTGCTGATTTTTTTTCTTGGCTGTACTGACACTTCTTAACTTTTAAAGTGGCTAAAGTAACTGCCACTGTATAAAATTAAAGTTTTTTATTTTCATTATGTGGAGAAGACAGACTTATCTATCCCAGGAATCAGTATAAACATAGAACCCACTAAAACAAGAGGGATTTTGCCAGAAAACCCCATGTGACTCTTCGGGCCACAGTTTCCTCATCTAAAATCGGGAGAGGTACGCTGTGAACCTGACGGCAGCCACTACCGACTAATGAGGGCCATGCTTTCTCACCCCGAGGCAGGTGCTGCTGTCCTCACCCTTTACAGGTGAGGAACCATGGCTGGGAAAGGCCATCACCCTCACGTGGTTATATCAAGGCCTGTGTCTGAACTGCTATTCTACAATGCCTCTATTTTCCTTAAAATAAAGAGACTCTAAATGAAATTTATTCATTTTTACAAAGGAAATAAAGTAGAAATTAGATTCCTACCCTGTGGCAACAATAGTATTCTTTGCTCTTATGCGATGGATGGACCCGTCCTGTATGCACAGTGCGAAGACACCACGGCACTCCCCATTCTCCATCAGGAGATCCAAGGCAAAATACTCCACAAAACAGCTGGTATCATATCGCAGAGACTAAAAGAAAGAAAAAAAAAGGGCAAGAAGTGTTAAGCCAACCTTTAAGGTTTTAAGGTGATATCTGCTCATGTGAATAGGTGAAAGAACTTGATCCAAATGGACCAGGTAAATCCAAGGAGATCAGCAACAGTGTCAATGACACTGTCAGAGCCCGAGAGGCATTCCACGCCCAGCAGTACCAACAAGGCAGGTGTGCTAGAGAACGCAGCAGCAACAGCTCCTATGTTGGTGACACATTTCCTACTTCTACACAACCCGAAGAGGCACTCCACACTGTCCGGTGGCCGCATGCAGCTCCACTCGGAGTCTGGTGCCAGAGTGAGATCCGCAGACCATGGGGTCACAGCCCAGATGGGAGCTACTGGCAACACATAACCACTTAATTAATTAAAATAAGTCAAAACGTTCAGCTCTTCAGCTACACCTGCCACATTAGCAACAGCCCCATGTGGCTGGCAGCTACCAAAGCGGACGGTTGCAGACGAGCAGATTCCGGCACCGCAGAAAGGTAGGCGCCGGACAGCGCTGCCCGCCTGGACCTGCCGTTCCCTCAGCCAGCGCAAGTCGCTCTCGTGAGCCTGGGCCAGCTCCCCACATGACAGCTCCTGCTCCGGAAGGAGCCGCCGTCTCCTCCCACCACACACTTGTCGATGCACTCAGCCACAGAGAAGTCACTGGTGTTCTAACAACCTGCACATTACTGATCCGTCCCCATGCATCAGAAAACAACAAAGCTCAGAACATGGATTACTCTGAATCAATACTGTTCAGGATATTGTTTGGTCATGCCAAAGTTGACCCTGATTACCCAGTAACTATTGTCACCTCAAGTCTTTGTCCAGTGATAACAGTTAATATGAAAACAATCCATGGCCGGGTGTGGTGGCTCACACCTGTAATCCCAGCACTTTGGGAGGCCGAGGCAGGTGGACTGCCTGAGCTCAGGAGTTCGGGAGCAGCCTGGGCAACATGGGAAACCCTGTCTCTACTAAAATACAAAACATCAGCAAGGCGTGGCGGCGTGCACCTGTAGTCCCAGCTACTCTGGAGGCTGAGGCAGGAGAATCGCTTGAACCCGGGAGGCAGAGGTTGCAGTGAGCAGAGATCGCGCCACTGCACTCCAGCCTGGGTGAGAGTGAGACTCCGTCTCAAAAACAAAGCAAAACAAAACAAACAAACCAAACCAATCCATTCAGGAACTCAGAGGTGGTAAAAGAGCCTTAAAATACTTGTTCTTTGTCTTTTTTTGAGACAGGTCTCCTGTTGCTCAGGCTGGAGTGCAGTGGTATGAACATGGCTCACTGTCTCAAGTGATCCTCCTGCCTCAGCCTCCTGAGTAACTGGGATTACAAGCATGTACCACCATGCTCAGCTACTTTTTAAACTTTCTGTAGAGACAGGGTCTCACTATGTTCTCCAGACTGGTCTCAAACTTCTGGTCTCAAGTGATCCTCCTGCCTTGGCCTCCTAAAGTGCTGGGATTACAGACGTGGGCCACTGTGCCTGGCCTGCTTGCTCTGTTCTTACATGCTGAGTGTCACATATCCCAAGTGAAAACCTGGTATATAAGATTATCAATTCAACTTCCCAACATAGAGGCAACAACTCACACATTGCCTTAGGGGCAGCTTCTCAAGGCACACGCCTGCTCCTGTCACATCCACAGTCGCTGCATGTGCCCCACACGGCTGTTCTCTGTTGCTTTTTACGCAATCTCTGGCTGACTCACTGGGCACGCTAACCCATTCCCCGCTGTCACCACAAGCCCCAGCACTATGTGTCCTGTCTCAGGTGGACGGGGGGCAGCCTTACCCTCCCATATAAGGTGTGCAATATTGAGTGGCCGGTCCGATCAGCCACACAGCAGCACCGATGGGCCTGCCTGCCCTTTCCAAACTTGAGGCTGTGTCCGCCAAATGCACGCTGATAAATCTTCCCATCTTCAGTTCTGCTAAACGGCATGCCATAATTTTCTACCTGTGAAAGATAAAAACAAACAAAAGCCTTATTACCCTAAAGGAGTCAAGATATTCACAGCTAATCTACACTAAACAACTTTAATACAAATCTGCAAACCCAAATTAACCTATTTTATGAAAATGTCAACACTTCATCAAAGAGAAGTTTTTCTTATTACATGTAATACATAGTTCATGATGGACAAAGACTTCTCTTGTGAGCTTTGCTAATCACCATTCTTTCGGCTGCCACATCTGCCTCAACTGCTTACATTTTTTCCAGGACTCTTGTACTGGAAACAGACCACCAGAGCACCCAGAGCCTCCCGCCCATCACCTCGACCATGGCAGTGGGGGCCTGCTCCGTCACGTAGTGGATGGCATCCTGGTCCCCCAGCCAGTCGGAGCCCTTCACGGTGTCATAGAAATGCCACCTCCAGTTGTCCTCCTCCATGTTCCCCAGAGCAGCATTGATTCCAACCTGGAAACACCAACCACTCCTTACAAGCCACAAACAGGAGCCCCAGCTTTGTCTTCCAGGCCCAAATCCACCCGCTGGGGGATTCAGAGAAAGCCAGCTACTCACATGGTGACTCCCAGTGAGGGCTGACCTCAGCAGAGGAGCAGCCAGGCCTGACAGATTCCAGATCACAACCCCTCCCAGACTCACCCAGTGATTCCATCCCTTAGCCTCAGTCTCCTCATCTGTGTGGTGGAGACAGAGGGAACTCCAGGAAGGGCTGACTGGAGCAGTGAGTGAAAGGCTACCTGTAATATGCTTATTACCTAACGTATCTGGCACAGAAAAGGTACTCCATGAATCTCTCCGCATAATTTTATTAACAAATCTTCCCAACGGCATTTACGGGCATGTGTTAAAGATTAGAAGTGCTTCCTGCCAAGTAATAAACTCCATACTCAGAGTCGCACTCCCCTGTACCCCTACTTCCTTTGGCTGTGTGTGCCCACCACCGTCTTACCCCTCAGAGAGTCCCAGAAGACAGCAGCACCAGGGACAAATGAAACCCTTGCCCTTTTCTTCCCCAACCTAAATTCTGAATCCTCCTCTTTAGATGATCTCCTTTTCTTAAGGTGTTGGGGTGGCAGGGGTGGGTGGGGAGGGTAGATGGTCAGAGAAAACCCAAGTGTGACTGGAGTCTGAATTAAGAGTGACAACAAGGCTCCCGCCCTTCAAAGTCCCCAGGGAAGAGGCTCCAGGGAGAGACCCCTGAATGGGTGAGCTGAGTAAGGCACAGCAAGAGGCCAAGTGGCTGGAGCACAGGGAGGAGGCAGGAGGCTGCCCAGGTAGAAAGTGCGAGGCTGCGCGGGACCTGCACGGAGTGGGAGCACAGTGGGGCACCTTTCTCTTACCTGCGCTGCAACAGTGTGTGACCTGGTAGGAAACAGCTTGGTAACACATGCTGTATCAAACTCTGCCTCGGAAAGGCCAAATGCAGCTCGCAAAGCCTGCCCCTCCAGCGCCTACCACCACTGCATCAAATTCATGATCCACTACTGGATACTGAGCAGAAATCTGGAAAAGAAAAATTCACCTGTCAAGCACAGGTTCCACTATGCCAAACATGAAGACTCTTGTGCCAGTGAAAGAGCTTGACAAAGATAAAAGGAGCAACTGCTGGGCACACAGGGCCTCCATCCTGTCCTGGGGCTGAGCCCTGAACAGTGCAGGGAGAAGTAGGCACATTCGCACCTGGAGAAGGGACTGATAATCAGATTCTATGAATGGTAGAGGGTCTATTCCATGGGATCAGACTGAGGACCACAACTCTACTTCAGGGCCGTGCCTATGCTTATGCCTGAGAAGGTACCAAGGAGCATTCAGTCGCTATTGTGAGCTTATGAGAAAAGAACTTCTCAGCACGTTTCAGTTTTCCAACAGAGAGAGAACAGGCACACTCAATACCAAGGAACCCACACCGGAAGGGCCCCACGGTCCTCTTTTCAGTAGGATTTTATCATCTATCACAGCAGATACTGTTCATTTTAATTTATTGCTTTACTTGACCTAAATTTAAATCTAATTTATAGATACATAACAGATACAAGTAAAAATGTTAACATCTATGTTTATATTGGTACTTGCAATTAAGTATTATTACACTGAAAATAATTTCAGCATGCATTGGATACCTATGAGAAATTTTTCCCTTATGTCTATGACTCATATGAAAACAAACTGGTATAGATCCTTACCCCCAAGCCAAAAAAATCATTTATAATGGAACAAAAAGCATGAACTTACGGAATCTGAAACTTTAGCAGATGCCCTCTCGTTCCTTCAACAGTGAAGTGAACACCTCGGGTTCCTGTTTGCAACACTGTTGGCCACTGGAGACACAGAAGACACAGATCCAGAGGGTTAGTGTCCTGAAGGAACAAATGCTGTGGGGGATAGTAATTCAAACTTCCCCTTGAAAACTGTTCACCTTCTTATGTACCCAGGTGCTCCTGTGCATCCAGAGAGCTCAGCTGGGACCCTCTATTTAACCCTGAAGGGCAGCCCAAGGGGCAAGGAAGGACTGAGCCCCCAGGTCCTCCTTTCCACCCTGACTTGGCACTCTAGAAAACCAGGATGAAGCTTGTTTCCAAAAAGGATACTCACTGACTCAGATACGAGATGAAAAAGACGCACTTCCTCTGGGAAGTCTTCACTTATGCTACTTAGTGGAGGAGGGGAAAGACATCCAGATCGTATTACTGTATGTGGTATTTTGCAAATAATGAAGCATTTTAACCGGCTCCATCAGAGCCCTTTCCACATTACAGTTCCAATCGTCCAGGAGGGCTTGCGGTCAGTTCAAAAGGCACTGGACACCTGAATCAGGAGATCTGTATCCTGGAACAGTAAAGGCTGACAGCCCAGAGGGAAGAGGTGTCATCCCTTCATCACACAGGAGGATGTCGGATGCACACTCTCCCCTGCCTGGTTGATGCTGGCTTTTTCCTGGCCAACGTCTACAACTTGACATATCTCACTGCTTAAATTTTCCATCTTAGAAACCTTTACTCAAGAAAACTGGTTTTAGTGTTTAGTTTTTAGTGGCTCTGTGTGAGAGAGGTCACACTGTCCCATATGCTAAGGTTGGCCAGCCATTTAGGGGATACGTTTTCCATTCTGCTGGCGGCATTTTAGAAGACCACTGAATAGTCTCAGAAATATCATCAAGAATAGTTTTAGGGGCTGGGCGTGGTGGCTCATGCCTGTAATCCCAGCATTTTGGGAGGCCAAGGTGGGCAGATCACCTGAAGTCAGGAGTTCGAGACCAGTCTGGCCAACATGGCAAAACCCCCTCTCTACTAAAAATTAGCTGGTCGTGGTGGCGGGCACCTGTAATCCCAGCTACTTGGGAAGCTGAGGCAGGAGAATCGCTTGAACCCAGGAGGCAGAGGTTGCAGTGAGCCGAGACTGTGCCACTGTACTCCGGCCTGGGCGACAGAGCGAGACAATGTCTCCAAAAAAACAAAAGAAAAAAAAAAGCTTTAGGAAATTATGCACTCAGCAATCAGAAGAGGGGATGTGAGGGATGTCTTCAAGTATTTAGAAATACTTGCAATTCACAAATTACTTATTATGTGGGATAAAAAATTATTCTTCATTTCTCCAATTTCTAGTCTGTTTTTATTGACATAAGCTAATTTAGTTTTTTCTTTTTTCAGAAAATGAGAAAGAACGAATATTCTTCTACCTTAGTATAATTTTTTACATGGTAAAATCATATTTTAAGAAAGAAGTCTTTGAAATAATTTTAATAAAAACGTTCTTGAAAATTTTGTAAAGTGCCCTATTAACATAGGTAATAGCACCAATAAAAACAGTACATTATACCAAATGTAAGTAGAAACAGTGAGATCACTAAATGTTTATTCGTTCTTTCTAGGATGTTGATGTGGAATACACACTGCCCACTCCCCACCACACACACACACAGCTGCCTTAAAAGGGGCAGCTACTATAACACAATCTTGAACAAATCATCACGCCATCCCCCTGGGGAAAAGGACACTAACCCTCTGCATCTAAATCTCATCTGGGGCAGATTTTTGAATCTGGAAAGCCCAACTTCAAGCCAATGTCAGTCTTTAGATAAAACTCAAAACTACTTTTGACACAAAACTAGTCTTTTGTGCCAATTATTAATTTTTTAGGAGAAACTATCAAACATTTCCTCTAAGAAAAAACATGGGGAACATATAACTAAAAGGAATACTTAGACCTTGCTTAACAATACAGAATTTCAGATGACTGAATCAGGAGGTGGAGGGGGAAAAGTAACAAGTGCAGAGACATTCATATCCGAAATCTAGCAAAGTAAGGGGTCCTCATCGAATAAAATGCACCTATAAATCATGAGCAAGAAACGAATCTGCATGTACAGCCTACACAATCACAAAAGCAGCCAACGAAGAACCCAAAAACGCACGACTTTCTGTAGGAAAAGCTACCTTCATCAAGATAAAAAGACTTTTACAAAACCCAAGACTAAATTTTGGTTCCATTTTGCTATCTTGCCATCTGGTCTGAGGTGCCTGGGGCCTTAGTCTGCAGAAGGAACACTGGGCACCATCTGGGTTGGGGACAAAGGCACTGGCTCTATCTAGCTTCTCTCCAACCACAAGCTACCATTGCCCCTAAAAAGTCCCACTGACCATGGGCTTCACCTCCTGCTTGTGGACGCCCTCCCAGCAGCTCCTAAGAGCCCAAGATGCGGCGGGGGTCTCTGCTCAGTCAGCACCAACCACAGCAACACGCTAGAACGGTTTACACGCTTTCCGATGTTGACAGGATGGCTGTATGACTAATCCTCACATTTAATTCAAAGAGATTTTCAATAACTATTTCAAAAAGGAGAAAATTGCACAATCACAGGCATAATTCAAATCAATATTGCTGAATGCCTTGGTTCCTCTATTGAGATTTTTACTCTGCAATTTAAAATTACTTTGTAATTAAGAGGTGGGTGGCTAAGTTCATTTAAAAGAACCAAACAACTAAACCTATCCAATTTCGCTTGATTAAATGAAATCCTAGAAGGCCGATTCTGAAGATGCAATCGTAGAGGGCACATTCAGACACTCAGAGAGCAAGGGCTCAGGGAAGTATAACCCTGACCATCATCCTGGACTAAGCCGAGCCCGGCCCTCGAGGTACTCAGCGCACAGGCAAGCACAGGTCCTGGAGTCCTCGCTCGGTCAGTGCCCTGAGCTCTCCGTCTGATTTTTAAAAACTGGCACAGCTGCTTTTAAACACCGGCACATTTTTGTGGCACAAGGGCCACCAAACGGGACCCAAAGTACAGGTCCTTAACTTCCAAGATCCCGAAGTGGACATGCACAGATTTGCGCTCTCTGGAAAGGGGAACTGCAAGCCCAAGCTCGGGCGCGCCGCGCTTCCCACCGGACACCCACCCGGCCGAGCCCGGCCACTCCTCGCACCCACCCAGGCGGTTTCACCCGCCCCGCCGGCCCCACCCACGGGCTGCGGGCGGCCCCGCAGGACAACCCTCACAGAGGGCGGCAGAGGCCCGGCCCAGCCAGGACTCCACCCCGGTGACCTTGGGCAGACACGACTCCTCCCCGAGTCCACCCGCCAGGCAGAGGCGAGGGGCTACCTCAGCCCGCGAGGTCGCCGGACCCCAGGCCCGGACCAAAGCGGCGGAGGGGACGCCCAGCAAGCCCGCGGGGTCGCGACCTTCACCGGGACGCGGCCTACCTGCTAAGGACCGAGCTCCCCAGGCCCCCGAGTACACTCCGCGGCTCCCCCTCGCACCGGCCCAGGGCTCTCCCAGCCCCTTCCCGATCCCCGGGCAGGGGGCGCGGGCACCCGGCGCCCGCTCCGCTCGGACCCGCTGGGGACCGTCCCGCTCCTACCGCCGCCTCGCCCCCCGCCTGCCCTGCCCCGGTCCGCGGCAGGGACTCACCGCCTTGGCCAGCGCCAGCGCCAAGCGCCGAGCGCTTGGCAACCGCGACAGGCCCCGGACCCCCGACACGTCTGTAGTCGCCGCCGCGCAGTCCCGCCAGTCCCTGCGCAGACTGCGCCTGCGCACCACGGCCGGGTCAAGGCGGGGCGCTAGTGGGGGACATCGCGCCTGCGCACCACGACACGCCCGGGCAGGGGTCTAATGGGCGGGGACGCCGCGCCTGCGCAAAGCGGACCCGCGGACGGTGGCGCTGGGTGGCCACGGAGGTCCCGCGCTCCCCGACCGAGATAGGGCGGGCCCTATTTCGGGGAGATGTTGGGCACCAACATTTTTTAAAGCCCCGTGGGTGGTTCTCCGGGATCTCCCAGACCGAGAGGGCCTGAACGTCCAGACCTCAGGGAATGGGGTCGAAGGGGCGGCGCTCGTCCGCGGAGGTGGGCGGGAGCGGCCCGGGGCCTCCGGCCTCTAGAGAGCGGGAGTGACCCTCGGTTTCTGGCCTCCGAGGGGCGGGAGCGATCCTCAGCCATGTCCCTAGTGTCTGGCTTCCGGCTGATTTTTAAATTTTTGGTAGAGGCGGGATCTTGCTCTGTTGCCCAGGCTGGTCTCGAACTTGTGGCCTCAAGCGATCCTACCTCCTCGGCCTCCCCAAGTGCGGAGATTACAGACAGAGCCACTGCGCACGGCCGTGGTCAGCTTTGAAAGCTGGGTAGATCCCTTTGGCTCATACGCCTTTCTGCTAGCTTACCCTGATTCTGCTTCTGGTTCAGATAGTATTTTAATATTTCTAGTGTGTCTTTTTCTAAGATATCTGAAATCTTTTTGTGGAATGAAGTGGCATGAAAAATAAACCAATAATCATTAGTAAGTATGTTTCCTGTCTTTTCACTTTATTAAAATCTTCGTCTTGTGCATCATGTTTAACAATTTTATTTTAGTAAATTTGCAAGGGTTCAGTCCCATTTTACTGATATTTGGGTTGTTTCCCATTTTTGCTCTTAATAACACCATACAGAACATATTTGTGACCATAACTTTCTCTTTAGGATTATTTTTTTAGATGTATGCCCCAGACGTGACCTTTATTGGCTTGCAGGGAATGAACATCATACCTCCTAGACTTATTTTTTTAAAGTTACGCTGTTTTAGTCCTGGGTTAGTTACCTAATTTTGTTTGGTTTGAGACGGAGTTTCGCTCTTGTTGCCCAGGCTGGAGTGGAATGGCGGGATCTCGGCTCACCGCAACCTCTGCCTCCAGGGTTCAAGAGATTCTCCCGCGGAGCTTACAGTGAGCGGAGATGGCGCCACTTCACTCCAGCCTGGGCAACAGAGCAAGACTATATTGCTTTAATTTACTCTGCCGGCTATCTGGAGAGATGCAACCTCATCAGCAGAAATTATTTCCACCCTGCTGCTTTTTAAATGTTATTTCCTATAGCCAGGTACTGAGCCCTTCAATTGAGGTCTAAACCCTCCACCCTCTCCCTCCGGGATTGCCAAGCCTGTGGTTTCAGTTCCATGCTCCCAGGTAGATTGTGTCAACTCAAAGTCAATGCGCTTATGAAATACTTTTTGTGGTTTTTTTCTTAATTTTAAGAGGTTTTTTTTTAAAATATGTTTTTGTTTCATGGAGGCGACACCCTCTGTCTCTGAGTTGTGGGAGCCTTCCTCCTTCAGTCTGCATGTACTGAAGCCAGTGTTTGCCGTACCAGCCCCTCAGCCGCAGCAGCCCACAGTGAGGTGCAGGTGCTCACGCCATCGCCCCAGAGAGCTCCTCCATTCGCCCCTCCACCCGTAGCCCCTCGAAACCACTGCCCTGCTCCCCGACACGGTACACTGTCTTCTCCAAGATGTCATGTGTTGGCATCCTTTGGCCTGTGCCCACCGAAACTAGCTTCCTTCAACGGGCATGTAGCCTGGGAGACCTGGGGCATTTGGGTGCATCTTTCCACTGCTGGTTGGTGCCCCCTGTGTGGAAGCATCCGCGTTAGTTCACGCCTTCTCCTGCTCCTGCCGACGGACATTTTGTTTTCTTCCAGTTATTGGCAATGAGGAATGAGGCCTAAACACTTGTGTGCAGGTTTGTGTGTGCACGTTTAAGTTTTCCCTTGGGGGACATTTCAGCAGTGGGGTTGCTGGATGACATGGTAAGGATGTGCTTAACTTCGTAAGAAACTCCAGGACCACTTTCCAGCATGGCGGGACCCCTCCCATTCCCACTGCAGCTTATGAGGGTCCCAGTTCCTCTGCATCATCACTAGAACCTGGGTTGGCCCATGGGTTTTGTCTGTTTTTAGCCATTTTAATGGATTTGCAGAGGTACTGCTGACTGGCATTTCTCCAGCATCTCTATGATGTTGAGCCTCTTTCTCGGGCAATATGCCCTCCTTATACCTTCTTTGATGAGGCCTCCGTTCCAATATTGGCCCTCTCTTTAATACTGGGGTTTTTACTTTCTTATGGTTAAGTTTTGATGGTTCTTCATATATCCTGCGTGCCAGTAGGTTGTGAGACGTGTGATTCACAAATGTTTATTTCTAGACCATAGTTCATGTTTCATTCTCTTTGGATTTTTATATTGCTTTATAGAATTATAATTTTAAATTTATGACTAAATTTAATTTGTCAATCTTATGAATCATGCTTTTGGTGTCATGTCTAAGAACTTTTCGCCTAACCCCAGGCCATACGAATTTTCCCCTGTGTTTTTAGCTAAGGGTTTGATAGCGTTATGTTCTCCATTTAGGCCTTTAATAAATGTTGAGGAACATTTTGTGACCGCCATGGCCATACCTTTCTCCATCTCTCACGGTATCGTGGGCATTTGCAGCTCCCAGTGCGCCGTGCTGTTCCCGTCTTCTTGGTCTGCTCCTCCTGTCATACCTTTCTCCGTCTCTCACAGTATCGTGGGCGTTTGCAGCTCCCAGTGCCCCGTGCTGTTCCCGGCTTCTTGGTCCGCTCTTCCTGTGAGTTTCAGGGCACGTCTTAGTGCTGGCACTGTCCTGGTCCATCGGGGGTCCCATGAGCTTCTCCATGTGGGAAGGTTGGGACTGTGATGTTGACGGGATGCCCTGTGAGTCAGGAGGAGGTGCTGACGGGGGTTTCCATGTAGGAGAGAGAGGTGTTTGGTTTTCCGGATGGGGCAGACTTGAGAGGGGACAAACTTGAGAAATGCCACCAATGAGAAGGGCACGCACAGCAGGTCTCGGGGCCGCCCAGCCGTGTGGGAGACAAACGTGGATGTGTCAGTGGCCACGCCAGGAGGTAAACCCTCAACCAAGGGCCTCTGGGTGTCCAAGACCAAGTCTTGCTCAAGAGGTGTGTTCAGCTGAGCCAACCATGGCAGAAATGCATAAGGGAGATCCCACGGTTCCTCTGTTTAAATCCCCTGCTAATCCCACCAGACTCAGAGAAGCAGCCAAGTCCTCACAGCAGCCTGCAACCCCCGCCTGACTCGGCCTCCTCTTGGCTCTGATTCTCTGCACCCTTCTATCCCTGTCTCTTCTTCCATCAGAGAGGAGATCCGGCACGTTTATCCTGGTGGATTCAAACCCATCTTTGCCCCACATATAGTCACCGGAATGAATAGGTATAATCTAGAAAGAGTCCTTTTGAAAAAGAAAAAAGCAGGCCGGGCATGGTGGCTCATGCCTATAACCCTGCAGGGACCAGCCCCACAGGGTCGGTGGGTCTCTCCCTGTGTGCGGCGACGAGAGAGTGTAGAAATAAAGACACAAGACAAAGAGATAAGAGAAAGGGCAGCTGGGCCCGGGGGGCCACTACCACCAATGCGCGGAGAACGGTAGTGCCCCGAATGTCTGGCTGCGCTGTTATTTATTGGATACAAGGCAGAAGGGGCAGGGTAAAGAATGTGAGTCACCTGCAATGATAGGTAAGGTCACGTGGGTCACGTGTCCACTGGACAGGGGGCCCTTCCCTGCCTGGCAGCCGAGGCAGAGAGGGAGAGGAGACAGAGAGAAAGACAGCTTATGCCATTATTTCCGCATATCAGGGACTATTAGTATTTTTACTAATTTACTACTGCTATCTAGAAGGCAGAGCCAGGTGTACAGGATGAAACATGAAGGCGGACTAGGAGCGTGACCACTGAAGCACAGCATCACAGGGAGACGGTTAGGCCTCCGGATAACTGCAGGCGAGCCTGACTGATGTCAGGCCCTCCACAAGAGGTGGAGGAGCAGAGTCTTCTCTAAACTCCCCCGGGGAAAGGGAGACCCCCCCCCCTCCCCGCCCTTTCCCGGTCTGCTAAGTATCGGGTGTTGTTCCTTGACACCTTTTGCTATCCGCCTGGTAACAGGCATCTTCCCAGACGCTGGCATCACCGCTAGACCAAGGAGCCCTCTGGTGGCCCGGTCCGGGCATAACAGAAGGCTCGCACTCTTGTCTTCTGGTCACACCTCACTATGTCCCCTCAGCTCCTATCTCTGTATGGCCTGGTTTTTCCTAGGCTACGATTATAGAGCAAGGATTATCATAATATTGGAATAAAAAGTAATTGCTACAAACTAATGATTAATGATATTCATATATAATCATATCTAAGATCTATATCTGGTATAACTATTCTTGTTTTATATTTTATTATACTGGAACAGCTCGTGTCCTCTGTCTCTTGCCTCGGTGCCTGGGTGGCTTGCCACCCACATAATCCCAGCACTTTGGGAGGCTGAGGTGGGAGAATCACCTGAGGTCAGGAGTTTCAGACCAGCCTGGACAACATGGTGAAACCCCATCTGTAGTAAACATATAAAAATTAGTTGGGCGTGGTGGTGCGTGCCTGTAATCCCAGCCACTTGGGAGGCTGAGGCAGGAGAATCATTTGAACCCAGAAGATGGAGGTTGCAGTGAGCTGAGATCGCGCCACTGCACTCCAGCCTGGGTGGCAGAGTGATATTGTCTCAAAAACATAGTAATAGGAATAATAAAGGAAAAGTGCAAAAATTCAAACAACTTAACAGAAACTGGGCAAAAGAGCTGAACCGGCCCTCCACAGAAGAGGAAATGTGGAGGAATGGCTAATGAAAACATGAAGAGGGGCTCAGCCTAACAGGGGGAGATATCACGTGACAACCACCAGACGGGCAAAAATCCCACAACCCAATCCATGCCAGCGTTGGGGAGAATGGAGAGAAGCAGGAACACCAGGCACTGCTAACGCTTGTGAAGTATATTTCTGCTATGCTTGTATATGAAAGTGTGTGTGTTGTGGGTTATGAGGAAAATTACATTTTTACCTGGGATGAAATTTTAAAATTTGAAAGCTACTGACCAGAAGAAACTTGCGCTTGTGTACAAAAGAAATGCCCAAGAACGTTCCCAACAAAACACAGTCCTAAGGGCCCCAACCTGGCCAAACACTCATCCACGGGAAGATGAAGACATTTCCCATGCTCCCCTCAGACGACGGGAGACCATGCAGCAATGAAAATGAGCCATGTCAGTGTGGGTGGGTCTCAGGGAGAGAATGGAGGACAAAAATAGACACAGAGCAGGTGCTCAGAGCCATGCAGTGCAGGAGCAGCCACGCAGGAGAATTCCCTCACGTCAAAGTTCAAAACTACAGCCGAGGCAACAGAGCAAGACCCTGCCTCAAAAAGAAAACAGAAAGTTCAAAAACTAAATGGCATATCTTTTAGGGATGTACACACACGGTGAAAGAAACATACTATGAAGGAAAGTGTGCAAATAATAAAGACTAAAGCAGGAAGTGATTCCCTCCGTAGGAGAAGGGAAGGGACTGGGACTCAGGCAGGGCCTCCAGGGAGCATCCAAAGCTATGTCTCTTCAGATTCTACTCCCTAAACTTGGTGGAGGTCCTCTGTGTCCAATGTGTCAATATTCTTTATACCTTACCCATACTGTAAAAACGCTTTATTTCTATTCAATATTTAGAAGACAGTTATAAACAAGATGCATTCAATAGCATGGTGGCAGATGAACATCAGGAAGGAACATCCATGAGCTTCCATCCACGGAACCTCACCATGGATACGCTTGTGATCAAGGGCCTGGTCTCCCCTCAAGACACGGTCACAGATCAGAGGCCACACCATCCTAGCAGTGGAGCAGGACCAGCTGGGACAGGGTCCTTCTGTGACACCTGCTGCATCACCAGGCTGGGTGAACGGACACAATTGCCAGAACTCACAGAATAGAAGTATCAGCACCGAAACCTCACAGGAAAAATGGTAAGTTCTAAGTTTCTCCATTAATAGTAACTCTCAGATTAATCTCTGTCATCCATCGCTTCTCCAAGAAATGACTTTTTAGGGTGATGTGCCAGGCGCCATGTTGGAGGGCTGGTGGTAGCGGCTTGGGGAGGTGCTCACTCTGTCGGTCTCACTCTCTCACACGCTTCCCCGGCTCCCTTCGTTCCCCCCCACCCCACTTGGCCTGCGTGCTGGAGGGTGTGCGAGGGAGTGGGAGGACGTCGGGGGGTGGGGGGAGGCGTTCCGGTCCCCAAGAGACCCGCGGAGGGAGGCGGAGGCTGTGAGGGACTCCGGGAAGCCATGGACGTCGACAGGCTCCAGGAGGCGCTGGAAGATTTTGAGAAGAGGCAAAAAAGAAAGTCTGTCCTGTCCTGGATCAGTTCCTTTTGTCATGTAGCCAAGACTGGAGAAACAGATTCCGTGGTCCCAATTTAAAGGCTATTTTATTTTCAAACTGGAGAAAGTGATGGATGATTTCAGAACTTCAGCTCCTGCGCCAAGAGGTCCTCCCAACCCTAATGTCGAATATATTCCCTGTGATGAAACAAAGGGAAGAATACTGAAAAACTGTCACTGGATTTAACCGTATCCCTTTTACTATTCAGCGATTATGTGAATTGTTAACAGATCCGAGGAGAAACTATACAGGAACAGACAAATTTCTCAGAGGAGTAGAAAAGAACGTGATGGTTGTTAGCTGTGTTTATCCTTCTTCAGAGAAAAACAATTCCAATAGTTTAAATCGAATGAATGGTGTGATGTTTCCTGGAAATGCACCAAGCTATACTGAGAGGTCTAATATAAATGGGCCTGGGACACCCAGGCCACGTAATCGACCAAAGGTTTCTCTGTCAGCCCCCATGACAACAAATGGGTGGCCTGAGAGCACAGACAGCAAAGAGGCAAATTTGCAGCAAAATGAAGAGAAAACTCAGTGACTCTTCGACATCTGAATCAGAAGTTTCCTCAGTGAGCCCTTTGAGAAATAAACATCCAGATGAAGATGCTGTGGAAGCTGAGGGGCATGAGGTAAAAAGACTCAGGTTTGACAAAAAAGGCGAAGTCGGAGAAATAGCCAGTCAAGCGACTTGCAGCGAAATTTCTTCAGTTATGGTAGAAGAAACAGAAGCATCACCTTCATCTCATGATAAAGACAAAAAAAGCCATGGTACCCGGCAGCGCGTTCAGAAGAAGATGAAGATGAAGAGGAAGAAGAAGGGATTGAGAGACCATCTGTAAAAGGGAGGAGTAAGGAGATCCTCAAATTCTTGCATTCATTGTTTTTGTGAAAGAATTGTACATCATGGAACTCCTTGTAATGTCGACGCTGGGCTTTTCTCCCACCTGTATGCAGTTGCTGCTGAATTTCAGGGGATGTGATTTGAACTACAGAACATCAGAATTCACGAAACTTAACTGTGGAGGTATTTTGAATATAAAATTTAAGTACAACAACATTTGCTTATTTTTAGAGTCTTTTATGACATCAAGAGAAATGGTCCCAGAAAGAAAAAACCAAGAAAAAGAATCTGATGATGCCTCAACTGTGAATGAAGAGACTTCTGAGGAAAATAATGAAATGGAGGAATCTGATGTGTCTCAAGCTGAGAAAGATTTACTACATTCTGAAGGTAGTGAAAACGAAGGCCCTGAAAGTAGTGGTTCTTCTGACTGCCGTGAAACAGAAGAATTAGTAGGATCCAATTCCAGTAAAACTGGAGAGATTCTTTCAGAATCATCCATGGATAATGATGACGAAGCCACAGAAGTCACCGATGAACCACTGGAACAAGACTATTTAGAAACATTTACATGCAGTATTTTACACACAGTTCTGGTTTTAACACTGTATAAAACTTTTATGTAAAAAAGTGCACCTTTAGTTTTATAAGAAAAGCAGGTTGTAAAATAAAGTACTTTATGGATAATTCCTGAAAGAGTTGTCCATGTAAGAACTGTGAATATCAGCTCCTCTGGGTCCTGCTTACCTTACCGCTGATTTCTTTTTCTTTCTTTCTTTCTTTCTTTCTTTCTTTCTTTCTTTCTTTCTTTCTTTCTTTCTTTCTTTCTTTCTTTTCTTTCTTTCTTTCTTTCTTTGGTCTGGGCAAATCAGTGGTTTGTGTATAGATTTTTTTTTTTAATTTAGGATTAAAGTTTTTAAACTGGAAAGTAATTATAATTTTGAACAGTTTTTTGAGATTATCACATTTAGTTTATACATATGCAAGAAGCTTTTTGTCTTGTGTCTTTCTGATAGCTCCAGCAGTTTTCATATTTTGGTCATAGTTTCAACATTTTAACATGTGAATAATAGAGTTTCATGCTGGTTTCCAGATTTTATTGTTCGGATACATACAATAGAACCTTAAGTTTTATATATATATATATATATATATATATATATATATATATATATATATATATATTCTAAGGGGGAAAATGTTATATTTTTCTGTTTGTATAAGAGATAAATACAGTGGATACTTTTTCTATTGGTAATGACTGAGTTCACCTCTTTCAGAAGACATTTTCTTTCTCTTCTGAGTAACTGAAATAAAATCTGGCCTCTGTGAAACCCTGGAAATACCACGACCCTCAACTAGAAACACCAATACCAGCTCCTCCGCGAGTTTCCAGCTCCACAACCTAAGACATCAGAGGCAGCATTGGTTCCTCACGTAGAGTCCAGCTCCGGGACCCTCATATTTGAACCGCAGGGCCATCTCATCCCTGGATCTCCAGCTGCACCACACTCAAATTAGAACAACATCAGTTCCTCCCCAGGTCTCCACCTGCACAGCCCTCGAAAGGGAATGTCAGCTCCTCCCCGGGTCTCCAGCTGTAGGGCCCTAAAACTAGAACATCAGCTCCCGCCTGGGTCGCCAGCAGCACCACCCTCAAACTGGAACATCAGATCCCCACGGGTCTCCAGCTGCAGGGCCCTCAAACTGGAACATCAGCTCCCCACCAGATCTCCAGCTGCACGGACCTCAAACTGGAACATCAGCTCCCCGCCGGGTCTCCAGCTGCACTGCCTGCAAACTGGAACATGAGCTCCCTGCCCGGTCTCCAGCTGCATGGCCCTCAAACTGGAACATCAGCTCCCCACCAGATTGCCAGCTGCACGGCCCTCAAACTGGAATATCAGCTCCACCCCGGGGCTCCAGGTGCACAGCCCTCAACCTGCAACATCAGCTCCCCACTGGGTCTCCAGATGAATGGCCCTCAACCTGCAACATCAGCTCCCCACCGGGTCTCCAGATGCATGGCCCTCAAACTGGAACATCAGCTCCCCACCGGGTCTCCAGCTGCATGGCCTTAAACTGGAACATCAGCTCCGAGACCCTCAAACAGGAACATCAGCTCCCCACAGGGTCTCCAGCTGCACAGCCCTCAAATTGCAACATCACTTCCCCCCTGCATGTCCAGCTGCACCGCCTCAAACTGCAACATCAGCTCCCCGCTGGGTCTCCAGCAGCATGGCCCTCAACCTGGAACATCAGCTCCCCCCAACCCGGGTCTCCAACTCCACAGCCCTCAACCTGCAACACTGGCTACCAACTGGGTCTCCAGATGCATGGCCCTCAAACTGGAACATCAGCTCCACCCCCGGTATCCAGCTGCACAGCCCTCAAACTGGAACATCAGCTCCCTGCCGGGTCTCCAGGTGCACGGCCCTCAAACTGGAACATCAGCTCCCCACCAGGTCTCCAGCCGCACGGCCCTCATACTGGAACATCAGCTCCCCACCAGATCTCCAGCTGCACAGCTCTCAAACAGGAACATCAGCTCCCCACAGGGTCTCCAGCTGCACGGCTCTCAAACAAGAACATCAGCTCCCCACAGGGTCTCCAGCTGCACGGCCCTCAACCTGCAACACTGGCTCCCCACCGGGTCTCCCGATGCACGGCCCTCAAACTGCAACATCAGTTCCCCCCGGGCATACAGCTGCATGGCCTTAAACTGGAACATCAGCTCCCCGCTAGGTCTCCAGGAGCACGGTCCTCAAACTGGAACATCAGCTCCCTGCCAGGTCACCAGCTGCATGGCCCTCAAACTGGAACATCACCTCCCCGCCAGGTCTCCAGCTGCATGGCCCTCAAATTGCAACATCAGCTCCCATCAGAGCCTCCAGCTGCATGGCCATCAAACTGGAACATCAGCTCCCCCGCGGGTCTCCAGCTGCACAGACCTCAAACTTGAACATCAGCTCCCCGCCGGGTCATCAACTGCATGGCCCTCAAACTGGAACATCAGCTCCACCCCTGGGTCTCCAGTAGCACGGCCCTACAACTGGAACATCAGCTTCCCCCTGGGTCTCCGGCTGCACAGCCCTACAACCGGAACATCAGCTCCCTGCCGGGTCTCCAGCTGCACAGCCCTCAAACTGGAACATCAGCTCCCCGCTGAGTTCAAACTATTCCAGTTTGAGGGCCGTGCAGCTGGAGACCCGGCGGGGAGCTGATGTTCCAGTCTGAGGGCCGTGCAGCTGGAGACCCGCGGGGGAGCCGAACTTCCGGTTTGAGGGCCATGCAGCTGGATACCCGGTGGGGAGCTGAAGTTCCAGTTTGAGGGCCGTGAAGCTGGAGACCCGTTGGGGAGCTGAAGTTCCAGTTTGAGGGCCGTGAAGCTGGAGACCCGGTGGGGAGCTGATGTTCCAGTCTGAGGGCCGTGCAGCTGGAGACCCAGTGGGGAGCTGATGTTCCAGTCTGAGGGCCGTGCAGCTGGAGACCCGGTGGGGAGCTGAACTTCCAGTTTGAGGGCCATGCAGCTGGATACCCGGTGGGGAGCTGAAGTTCCAGTTTGAGGGCCATTCAGCTGAAAGACTTGGGGAGAAGCTGATGTTCCAGTTTGAGGGCCGTGCAGCTGGAGACTCGGGGATAGCCGATGTTGCAGTTTGAGGGCCGTGCAGCTGGAGACCCGGGTGGGAACCGATGTTCCAGTTTGGGAGCCATGCAGCTGGAGGCACTGCGGGGAGCAGATGTTCCAGTTTGATGTTCCTCCCTGGGTCTCCAGGTGCACGGCCATCAAACTGGAACATCAGCTCCCCGGCCCTCAAACCGGAACATCAGCTCCCCGCCGGATCTCCAGCTGCACAGCTGTCAACATCAGCTCCTCCCCGAGTCCTCAGCTGCACGACCCTCAAGTTAGAACATCAGCTTCTCCCCAAGTCTTCAGCTGCGTGACCCTCAATCTAGAACATCAGTTCCTCTACAGGTCTGCAGCTGCAAGACCCTCAATCTAGAACGTCAGCTCCTCCCTGAGTCTCCAGCTGAAACACCCTCAAAACGAACAACATCAGCTCCTCCCTGAGTCTTCAGCTGCACGACGCTCAATCTACAACATCAGCTCCTGTCTGGTTCTCCAGCTGCACGACCCTCAAACTACAACCTCAGCTCTTCCCCGAGTCTTCTGCTGCATGACCCTCAATCTAGAACATAAGCTCCTCTCTCGGTGTCCACCTGTAGGGACCTCAAATTAGAACGTCAGCTCCTCCCAGAGTCTTCAGCTGCATGACCCTCAATCTTTAACATCAGCTCCTCTCCGGGTCTGCAGCTGCATGACCCTAAAAATACACGAGCAGCTCCTCCCTGAATCTTCAGCTGTACGACCCTCAAACTACAACATCAGCTCCTGTCTGCATCTCTAGCTGCAGGGCCCTCAAACTAGAATATCAGCTCCTCCCCGATTTTTCACCTGCATGACCCTCAAACTAGAACATCAGCTCCTGTACAGATTTCCAACTGTAGGGCCCTCAAACTAGAACATCAGCTCCTCCCCAAGTCAGCAGCTGCAAGACCCTCAAATTAGCAACTCAGCTCCTCCCGGAGTCTTCAGCTGCATGACCCTCAATCTCGAAGATCAGATACTCTCCGGGTCTTCAGCTGTAGGGCCCTCAAACTATAACATCAGCTCCTCTCCGAGTATTCAGCTGCACGACCCTCAATCTCGAACATCAGCACCTCTTCAGGTCTGCAGCTGTAGGGCCCTCAATCTAGAACATCAGCTCCTCCCTGAGTCTTCTGCTGCACGACCCTCAAACTAGAATCTCAGCTCCTCCCAAGTCTTCAGCTGCACGACCCTCAAACTAGAACCTCAGCTCCTCCCTGAGTCTTCAGCTGCATGACCCTTAATCTAGAACATCAGCTCCTCCCCGAGTCTTCAGCTGCACGACCCTCAATCTAGAACATCAGCTCCTCTCCAGGTCTGCAGCTGCAAGACCTTCAAACTAGAACATCAGCTCCTCTCCAGGTCTGCAGCTGCAAGACCTTCAAACTAGAACATCAGCTCCTCCCCGAGTCTTCACCTGCATGACCCTCAAACTAGAACATCAGCTCCTCTCCAGGTCTCCAGCTGCACGACCCTCAAAGTAGAACATCAGCTCCTCTCCGGGTCTGCAGCTGCAAGATCCTCAAACTAGAACATCAGCTCCTCTCCAGGTCTGCAGCTGCAAGACCCTCAATCTAGAACATCAGCTCCTCTCCAAGTGTGCAGCTGCACGACCCTCAATCTAGAACATCAGCTCCTCTCCAGGTCTGCAGCTGCAAGAACCTCAAACTAGAACATCAGCTCCTCTCCAGGTCTCCAGCTGCACGACCCTCAAACTAGAACATCAGCTCCTCTCCGCGTCTGCAGCTCCACGACCCTCAATCTAGAACATCAGCTCCTCCCCGGGTCTTCAGCTGCACGACCCTCAAACTAGAACATCAGCTCCTCCCTGGGTCTGCAGCTGGAAGATCCACTAACTAGAACATCAACTCCTGTCTAGGTTTCCAGCTCCATGACCCTCAATCAAGATTATCAGCTCCTCTCTGAGTCCCCAGCTGAAAGACCCTCAACGTGAACAACATCAGCTCCTCCCGAAGTCCTCAACTGCATGACCCTCAAACTACAACATCAGCTCCTCCCCGAGTATTCAGCTGCATGACCCTCAATCTAGAACATCAGCTCCTCTCTGACTCTGTAGCTGGAAGATCCACTAACTAGAACATCAGCTCCTGTCTGGGTCTCCAGCTCCATGACCCTTAATCAAGATTATCAGCTCCTCCCTGAGTCCCCAGCTGAAAGACCCTCAACACGAACAACATCAGCTCCTCCCAAAGTCCTCAACTGCATGACCCTCAAACTACAACATCAGCTCCTCCCCGAGTCTTCAGCTGCATGACCCTCTATCTAGAACATCAGCTCCTCCCCGGGTCTGCAGCTGCACGACCCTCAATCTAGAACATCAGCTCCTCCCCGGGTCTGCAGCTGCACGACCCTCAATCTAGAACATCAGCTCCTCCCCGGGTCTGCAGCTGCACGACCCTCAATCTAGAACATCAGCTCCTCCCCGGGTCTGCAGCTGCACGACCCTCAATCTAGAACATCAGCTCCTCCCCGGGTCTGCAGCTGCACGACCCTCAATCTAGAACATCAGCTCCTCCCCGGGTCTGCAGCTGCACGACCCTCAATCTAGAACATCAGCTCCTCCCCGGGTCTGCAGCTGCACGACCCTCAATCTAGAACATCAGCTCCTCCCCGGGTCTGCAGCTGCACGACCCTCAATCTAGAACATCAGCTCCTCCCCGGGTCTGCAGCTGCACGACCCTCAATCTAGAACATCAGCTCCTCCCCGGGTCTGCAGCTGCACGACCCTCAAGGTAGAACATCAGCTCTTCCCCGAGCTAAAACACCTCTCCCACCTGGATCTCCAGCTCCACGAGTCTCACAGAACAGCCACACTGGCTCCTTCATTGTCTTCAGCTCCACAACCTAAGACATCAGTGGGAGCACTGGCTCCTCCCTGGACCTCCAGCTCAACGACTCTCATAGACTTAAAAGGCAGCACCTGCTCCTCCCCAAGGCTCCATCTCCACCACCCTCAGATTTGAACAGCGGTAGCACCACCTCCTCTCCAGGTCTTCAGCCCCATGTCCCTCCCTGAACAATCCCTTCTCATGAAATTCAGCAGTCAAGAAATCTGCAGCGGAAGTAAATGAATAAACGTTTTGTTTTCAAATTGATATCTCTTTTATGTTCATGAATTAACTTTTCTACTTTCCATTAGCCTTGCAATCTACTTATGTCCAAGGTGAAACAGAAACACACCATTTGAAATCACGTTTAAAAACTTAGTAATGTTTTTCAATAAAATCATCACACAGCTGTAGACATGATCTTATTTCTCTCTGCCTGTGCAGAAGTCTTATGAAAATTCAAACTATGAATTTACTTTGTTGAGATTCCCAGAATACACATTAATCCCAACTGTTACTCCCCTCCTTAAAATCTTTTAACACATTCCCATCACCTGAGCATAAATGCCAGCTCCCATCCACAGCCCGAAGTGCCCAGCACGGCCCTGCCCTCTGCCCTGGTCTATGGTCTCCCCTCTTAAATGCCAGCACCATCCACAGCCCACAGTGCCCAGCACGGCCCTGCCCTCTGCCCTGCCCTCTGCTGTGGCCTAAGGTCTCTCCCCGGTGCCGTTCCCTTCCTGACGGACAGGCCTCTGTCCGTTCCTCAAACCACACAGGCTCAGGCCTCACTCCAGGCCTTTGCGCTTCTGTGCCCTCTGCCTAGGGTGCCTTTCCCGGGCTCTGCATCCTCCTCTCAACCCACTGAGCTCCAGCCTGCTGGTCGCCCCTCAGGTGGATGAATACACGGTGTCCTCTCACCCCACCAGCTTTTGCACAGGCTCTTCTCTGTGCCAGACAAACACCCTATCGGGGTTTACTCTCTAAATACCATTCATCCTTGGAGTCTCCACTGAAATATCGCTCCCTGCCCACCCCCCTCACTTGGACTTAACCTTGGTTAGGTTGCCAACCCCCGTCTCCTGACTCCGGGAAGCTAGATGCTCTCCTAGCACTCGGAACTTGCCCATTGCCACATTTGCACACCCGTGGTTACTGGGTTAGGTTGGCGCACAAGTCATCGCGGGTTTTGCCATTACTATTAATGAACGGCAGCAACGGCTCCTCCCCGTTTCTTTTGTTTTTTTTTTCGCCATTACTTTTAATGACTGCTGCACCAACCTATTAGAATCATTTATATTTATCCATCCATCATCTGCCTTCCCCTCTAGAAAGGAAGCTCCATGAGAATAGAGGCCAAATCTACTCAAATCACTCCACCTTCCCAGCACATTGTTTGTCAATAATCATTTACCAACTGACTGATAGAGAAATGCCTTCCCTGTTGCTGGGATGAGGCACATGACACGCCCCTTTGAAAGTCAATTCCATGGACAGTTAGCATTTGCTCTTCACTCCTGCACCCGTGGCGTGGCTGGGCTTAGGCTGATCTAGTCTGGCCTTGACTCCAGGCTAAGGATGGGAACCATGACTGCTCCACACGCCTCTCATCCCACAGCCAGAGCCGCCGTTCCCTGGGGCACGTGCATCTCATGGGGAAAATCAAGAGCCTTAGACGGCAGGCCTGGCAGTGCCCACACATTCCAGGCTTCTGCTTGTGCCGTGTCTGTGAAAATCTCGTTGGCAGAAGCAAGTCACCCAGCCACGAGCAACACCTATGGGACGGATAAGTCCATCCACCCTCCCTCGGGCCCTGGCAAGGTTGTGGCTATGTCATACTCTTACGGGGGGAGTGAAAAATTGAGGCCCAACATTAAATCACCCACGCGAGAAATGTCAGCCTCTGTCCCCACGCTGGAATCATTTTTCACCAGCGGGTTTGCCTGAATTCCCTTTGCAATGGTGTCTGCAGGTTTAGCCCAATGCTGGTCCCCGTGGAGGACACAGAAGCCTCAATGGGCCTCCGTCTGTTGGGAAGAACAAGATATTAGCTTGGCGCAAAACCACCGCAAGCCCCAGGAGGCCCTTGTGCCATGAGACAGGAGAGGGGCAGAGAACTGTGGGAACTCAGGAAAGCTCACATCCCCAGCCCCTCCCGTGCATCCCCAGCCCCTCCGCTGTGACCCCAGCACCAGCCCTCTCCCCTGCTTGCCCCATCTCTGCTTTCTTTTTTTCATTTTCTTTCTTTCCTTGTTTTTGAGACAGGGTTTGGCTCTGTCACTCAGGCTGGAGTGCAATGGCACGATCTCAGCTTACTGCAACCTTCACCTCCTGGGCTGAAGCAATTCTCCCTCCTCAGCCTCCCCAGTGGCTGGGACTACAGGTGCACGCCACCATATCCAGCTAATTTTTTTTTTTTTATTTTGGTAGAGACAGGATTTGCCATGTTGCCCAGGCTGGTCTCAAATTCCTGAGCTCAAGTAATCCTCCCACCTCAGCCTCGCAAAGTGCTGGGATTACAGGCATGAGCCACCGAGTCCAACCTACTTTATTTTTCTCTACAGTACTTGGAACCTTCTAATGTACTAAGGACACGTGTATTTTCTTTCTTTTTTGTCTTCCCTAGAACAGGAGCTTAATGTGGGCAGGTATTTTTGTTGATCTCATTTATCACCCTCTCCCCAGTTCCTGGAACAGGGTCTGGCACATGAATGGTGTGTTCTAAATAAATATTTTTAATAGATAAATAAATGAAATATCCTACAAGAGAAAGCTATATCTGGAACTCACCCATCAACAGAACCTAAAAGCCAAAGACCTTTAGCCTGTCTCTGCCTCTGAACACACCCAACCCCGGAGGAGCCAGCAGAGGAAAAAGAGGAACAAAGGCGGGGAAGGGAGCAGGTGGTGCCCACCAAGCAAGGAACCCTGAGGCTTAGGCCGAACCTGAGCTGGAGAAGGGACTCATCTAGGAACTGGGTATGAGATTAAAGTTTAGATTGGTCTGGCCTGGATTTTGTAACACCTAAACAAGAGTTATTCTATTCTTTTTTTGTTTTTTTTTTTTGAGATGGAGTCTCACTGTCCCCCAGGCTGGACTGTAGTGGCGCTATCTCAGCTCACTGCAACCTCTGCCTCCCAGGTTCAAGTGATTCTCATGCCTCAGCCTCCCGAGTAGCTGGGATTACAGGCGCACACCACCATTCCCGGCTAATTTTGTATTTTTAGTAGAGATAGAGTTTCACCATGTTGGCCCCCGGCTCACGCCTGTAATCCCAGCACTTTGGGAGGCCGAGGTGGGTGGATCATGAGGTCAGGAGATTGAGACCATCCTGGCTAACACGGTGAAACCCCATCTCTATTAAAAATACAAAAAATTAGCTGGGCGTGGTGGCAGGTGCCTGTAGTCCCAGCTACTCAGGAGGCTGAGGCAGGAGAATTGCTTGAACTCCAGATGCAGAGGTTGCAGTGAGCCAAGATCAATGCCACTGCACTCCAGCCTGGGTGACAGGGCAAGCCTTCATCTCAAAAACAAACAAACAAACAAACAAAAAACCTTCAAACGAATGTAAGAATTATTATTTTTTAAAGTACAACTTTAAAAATGCCCCTTACAAATACATCAGTGTTATATTAAGGGAAACCCACTTCAGAAGCACAAAGTTAATTTCTTATAATTCCAAGAAATATGTGAATGTTAAAAAAAACCCAAACACCCGAAAAGGGATCAATCTCAAGATAGTTTGTAACATTTTATTGCAAAAAGAAGGGCAGAGAACAGTCTTCTTCATACCTGTTCACCGTAATAATTTTTAGCAGCTCTCCTGTGCAAAGAAGTCTCATCAATCAATCAGCATACGGGCCACAAATACCTTCTCAGTGCGGTTTCACCTACAATACAAGCACTCAGAAGCACAAATTTAACTGAAGTGAGAAACCAGGCCATTTTGTAGCTTCAGTTTTTCTACCAGTAATATATTAATTTCTTGAAATAGCCTAATAATTTAGTTCTACTATCAAAACAGAAGCCCAATCTGGGAGAACAATTATTATACAAGTCAAACTAATTTCAATCATATTAGTATAGGAATTCATATTAGTATAGGCTAATAATTCATATTAGTAGAGGCGGGAGGATCGCTTGAGCCTAGGAGTTTGAGACCAGCCTGGGCAAGACAGTGAGACTCCATCTCTAATTTTTTTTTTAAATAAAGAAACTCAGAGAGGAGAAGGAAGCGGATTGATATGTGTCTATCCAAGCACAAATTTTGTGTGCCTGTACATACAACACGACTATGAACCTTCCTTCACGCAGCTCACAATCTAGTAGCGAGAGAAAAGTACGAAAACATGAGCCCCCACGATGAGGAAAAAGGCGCATATCAGAGAAAAGAAAAATGCTGCGATGATCCAATGGCAGGAGCAGCGCGCATCCACTTTCTTTGTTTTTTTGAGATGGGGTTTCGCTCTGTCTCCCAGGCTGGAGTGCCGTGGCTTGATCTCAGCTCAATGCAGCCTCAACCTCCCAGGCTCAAGTGATCTTCCCATCTCAGCCTCCCAAGTAGCTGGAACTACAGGCGTGCACCACTACACGTTTACTTTTTGTAGAAACAGGGTCTCACAATGTTGCCAAGGCTGGCATCCTGAAGGGCGGGTGGGGCTTCATCCTACAGAGATGAAAGGCAGAAGAAGCTCAGAGCCCAAAGCAAAGGGGTGGAGGACAAGGGCATCTTCAGAACAGAGTGGCTCAGCTGAGACATCCAGTAGGATGCCACCAGGCAGAGGTGTGGTGGAAAAACACAGGGCCACAGGGTGAATGCTCACATGTGAGGAGCAAACCACCACAGAACACAACAGAAACACGGTGTACTAAATCAGGCTTCAAATCGCAGCCCTGCAACTTCAGAGCTACCACAGGTAACCCAGAAAGGGAGCACGGACAGCACCGCCCACTGCCTGAGGCTATGAGATGGACCAGAAACCTGTGCTTACTAACAACCTGCCTTATTCCAGAAGGAATTCAGGAAACACAAAGACACTCACAGTACAGCAAAATAAAGTAAATGTGAATCATGTTGGCTGAGGAGAAAGTGAAGAGTCTAAGACTATGTCATAAAGTTTACCTCTACTCTAAACTCTCATTACTGGTGAGCCACCAATCTGACTTTAAGTTTTCTAGCAGCTAAATTGAAGAGGAAAATGTAATCAGGTAAAGGTTTATAAGATGCAAACAAAACAGGACAGCCACCACAGTTTCTGAGAAGACGCGCAGCTCCAGCTCCAGGAGAAACAGGGTGGCCATCTCCTGGGGCTGCCCCGCAGCAGGTGTGTCAGCCCCAAAGCCAGCGTCTCTCAGGGTGAACGGTGACTATGGGCTTCATGGGGCCACACACCTCCAGTACAAGCTGAGGAAATCTCCCAGGGCAATTCAAGGAACAGGGTCTCACAATGTTGTCCAGGCTGGTCTCAAACGATCCCCCTGCCTCGGCCTCCCAAAGTGTTGGGAGGTCAGACGTGAGCCACTGCATCTGGCCCCGCATGCACTTTATAGAGGAGGGCTTTGCATCCTGAAGGGCGAGTGGGGCTTCATCCTGCAGAGATGAAAGGCAGAGGAAGCTCAGAGCCCAAGGTAAAGGGGGGCGCCTAACAAAAGCGACTCCATTGGGACCACGGTGAGAGGGTCCCCATACACAGCTTGGGTTAAGCCAGACACTGATTTCAAAGTATCTCAGGAATGGTGGACTCAGCACCTGTCAGGCAATTCTCTCTCTCAAGCAGGCTCCTGGTAGATATTTAGTAGCAGCTGAAATCAAGATTATGTTCTGACTGACACTTGCTGAGGGTTAAAGAGCTATATACGCTTTGAGGACCAGCTGAACTGGGGCAGGACTAACACCCTCTGGTGAAAATACGGGAACCCAAACACACGAGTCAGAGCAGGAGGTGTCTCCCCCACCTCCAAACAATAACGCTGACCTTGGATTTGGGTTAAGTGCCTAGCCCAGGGGTGTGAGTGTTCAGGAAGTGGAAACCATCATCACCATCATCAGGTAATGGAAAACCATCAAAGCTTTGAGCTGGCTTGTTAGCCAAGAATAGTAGTAGTGTATTAGCTACTACTAATACTCACAGCTGACAATTACTGAGCACTTGCTCCGTGCCAGGAATCACGGAGGCACCTCGCATGCATTTCCTCAATACTCCCTCCCAGTAACGGCGAGGACACAAAACTGGTAGAGCCAGGACTGGAATCCAGGCAGGCCCCAAGGCACTCCAGTGGAGCCTGCCAAGGAGGGCAGGCTACCATGCTAATGAGGTCCAGTATTTGACCACCACTCCTAGTTGAGCAAATTAACAGAAAACCTAAAACTAAACTTAAAATCTAAAAATTTGAGCAAATGCATAAAAAGCAGCTGTTAAAATGGATCATAAATCTTGCATCACTCGCTGGAAAACCACTCAAAATAAACGTCTCTGAGACATGGCCTCTGAGGAGGGCACTCCGTGTGGCTCGTATCACCCTGGTGACAAACCACGTGAACCTGGGTGGTCACCTGACCATATTGAACAGACGATGCACAGAGCCATTTGCATCCACTGTGGTCAACATTTAGGAAGTTTTAAGCTAAGATTTGCCAAATTGTAGCCTACTGGATTCCGGGTTCTCTTGACATCTCTTTCTAGTCGCCATGTCTTGCACTTCCCGAGTATAAATAAACTGAGATGCAAATAAAAAAAGGAGGATTTAAGAATAATGAAAAGAGAAAAATCAAGAAAGCACAATCACTAGTGTAGAGATAACAGAATTTCTGAATTCCCTGAAAACAATCTATATAAATGCATGTGAAATAATACACCAGCATCTGTGGCCCATACGTCACATATTAGGAACTGATAACATAAGGTAAACATGTTACTCTGAAAACACAAATCCTCACAAATCATTAGGCAGTAAGACTGAATCCAGCACCTCCCCCCCCACCACCCACAGCGCAGTGAGGCAGTGTCTAGCAGCCGTAGTGCTCCCCGCGCCCCAGTTCAGTCTCTGGCAACATCAGATACTTCCCACTAATAACGAGGAGCCTTTCAACATTTTCACAACATCTCAAAACTGACCCCTTTTCTAGCTTAAATGGCACGGATCTGGAAAGGCAAACTATACACAGAATCAGAAAAGATGACTGC
Organism: Homo sapiens; assembly: GCF_000001405.40. NCBI lineage: Eukaryota > Metazoa > Chordata > Mammalia > Primates > Hominidae > Homo > Homo sapiens. The sequence goes on along the minus strand of NT_187689.1, from coordinate 7,511 downwards.
CCCTGAGGGATTACAGAAAAAGCAGCAGTCAGGTGTTCAATGAAGTAAAATGTATCCAATGATAGCTCAGGGGAGGGGGATCAATTGAGCTGAAACTGGCAAGAACGTAACTCCAGGGAGCTCACAACACGCCAAGGACCCAGATTTCCCGCTGCCTGAACGCCCAATATTCGCACACTGATAAGAACGCCTCCCCATAACTCCCCTGCCAGCGCCTCCAACACCCCCAATCCTTTCCCCAGGAACCCAGTCCCAGTTTCTGCAGTTCCTGTAACAGCCACGTTCCCACACAAGTGCTGCCTGAGCTCCCCAAGCCCTCCAACAATCACCCCCCAGTGCCCTCGAAGGTCTATTCAGAGAAGTCACCAAGATGCAGTCACCCAGGAAATTCAAGGACCCCCAACTTACCAAAAGGCTTTCGGCTGGACAGAGCTAACCTTCCTATTCCCCTCCTAAACCTACAACCTAGTTTTCATTTCTCAAGAAGCCTTTCCCTGCGCTCACGCACGCCGTTGTTAGCTGGCTCGGTGAGGCACTCCAAGCAGTAACAGCGGTAGCCACAAAATAAACCAGAAGCATCTCCACCATGAAGCAGTAATAATTTGTCCTAATGATTCCTTTGTCCTTGGAAAATCAACTTCAGAAAGAAAGTTATCCACTGTGAGCAGGGCAGGCTCGCGGCTTCTTGGTCCGGAGACCCAGGTCCCACTGGCCCACTCACCCTTGGAGAGAGCTTGCTGAAGCTGGGTGTCCGATATCACTCCACTCCTCTCTATCAACCCTATAACATCAAGAAGACCAAACAAGCTGGCGATCGAAAGTTCAGGAAAAGCAAAACAAACGTCTCCTGTCAACCCTGCACCGACTCTGGAAGGCTCCCTCCTGGAACCTCCGCCTCTCCGGTCCCGCTGAGGAGTACAGCGGAATCAAGGAAGTGCCCCAGGAGCCACGTCCAAGTGTGTTCTTCCCCTAAGAGGACAATCATCTTTCTCTCTCTTTTCCCACCTCAATCCTTCCCTTCCTTCCCCTCCTGACCTGTCTGAATTCCCATTTGCACCAGTTTCCCTTTTTCACAGACAAGACAAGATTCCCTCAGATAACTAAGCCATTCCCTGGCCATGAGTTACTACAGTTTCGGTCATTCATTCAGTGGAAAAGCGACCAGGGACAGAAGGCGCCGCCATAAAGGTCACCTGGCCCGAGCAGACGCCAGGTCGCTGCTTCTTCCTTGGCTGCTGACATTTTAACAGCGGCCCAGACAGTCTGTTTCCGCTTTCCCCAAACAAGCACCCTGGAGACCCTCCCCCGACGGCTCGAGGCGAGAAACGGGGCCTGGCCCAGGAGCCGGTGGCCGCGACCTCGGGTCTGCAGTGGCGCCCTCTGCACCTTGGGAAGCGCCCGACGCACAGGACAGGGACCGGGCAGGAGGCAGGGGCGGCCCCAGGAGACCGGGCAGCGGACGGGGGAGACCGCGGGGGACCCGGAAGGGGATGGGGGCGGCCGCGGGGGTCGGGGCAGGGGATGGGGGCGGCCGCGTCGGTCGGGGTAGGGTTCGGGGGCGCCCGCGGGGGTCCGGGCAGGGGCGGGGGAGACGGCGGAGGTCGGGGCAGGGGACGGGGGAGGCCGCTGGGGACCCGGCAGGTGACGGGGGAGGCCGCGGGGCAACCGGCAGGGAACGGGGTTGGCCGCGGGGGTCGGGACACGGGTCCGGGGCAGCTGCGGGGGAGGCGGGAGGTGCCGGGGCGGTGCCAGGTGGCAGCTCTGGAAGACGTTCCACAGGAAGCTCTGGTCGGGCAGCGCCGCGCCCGCAGCAGGCCCAGGGCCGCCCAAGGCCGGGGCGGTAGGAGTAGGCGGCCAAGGGCCAAGGCGCGCGGCTGGGCTGAGGCACCTGCGGCCACGGGCGACCTCAGAGCGACTGTGCTTCCGCCTCTGCCGGGGGCAGGGCCAGGCGTTACCGCCGCTTCCGGGGGCGCAGGAAATGCGCGTTGTCCGGGATCCTCCGGCGCAGGCCACCTGCGCGCGGGGCCGGGAAGGCGCTTGGAGGAAATGTCCCGCGCCGCGACCCGGGACAGGCAGTGATGGAGCAGGGATTTCGTTTGCCTTTTAGTTCTTGTATAAAAAGAAGTTTTGACGTGAATATGATTCACGCTAACAGTCGGAAACTCTGGGCGGGGCGCGGTAGCTCACACCTGGGATCCCTGCGCTTTGTGAGGCGGAGGCGGGCGGAGCTCTTGAGCCCAGCAGTGCGGACCAGCCTGGGCAGCGGGGCTAGACCCCATCCCTACAAAAATTACAGCAAGTAGTCGGGCGTGGTGGGCTCCTGTGGTCCCATGTACTCCGTGGGCTGAGGCGGGAGGATCGCCTGAGCCCGGGAGGTCGAGGCCGCAGGGAGCCGAGATCACTGCAGCTCCAGCCCGGTGGACAGCGAGACTCTGCAAAAAAAAAAAAAAAAAAAGCAAGCAGGCCGGGTGCGGTGGCTGACGCGTGTAATCCCAGCACTTTGGGAGGCCGAGGCCGGTGGATCACCTGAAGTCAGGAGTTCGAGACCAACCTGGCCAATATGGAGAAACCCAGTATCTACTAAAAATACAAAATTAGCCGGGCGTGGTGGCGCACGCCTGTAATCCCAGCTACTCGGGACGCTGAGGCAGGAGAATTGCTTGAACCCGGGAGGCGGAGGTTGCAGTGAGCCGAGATCAGGCCATTGCACTCCAGGCCTGGGCAACAAGAGCAAAACTCCGTCTCAAAAAAAAAAAAAAAAAAAAAAAAGGCAAAGCACAATTCGCGTGGGAAGGGCAGTGTGCAGCGTTCTCCGTTGTCTGTTCCGCCCCCAAAAGCTTCCCTCCTTTAGGTTTAACCTGCGCCCCCGCGCTCTGCATCAGCGCGGTCCCCGACCGGTGCAGCTGGAAACACTGGGCGCCTCCCTGCCGGGCCCCTTCCCGCCCCTGTGGTGGTGCAGCCCTGCCTCCCGCAAGACAGCACTGCCTTCGTGCTGGACACAGTTCTATGGTGGAGCCTGGAGTGCCTGTATCACAAATCCCGGAGTTGGGAAGTGCCCACCTTTGGGCCAGTGTGATCCCTGGGTCTTTCCCGGGGTGGTCTCATGCGGCCTTCCACTCCAGTCCTGTGTCCTGTGCCCCGGTTCAGAATACTACAATTATTCTCGTTATTTCATGGGGTTATTCCAGCTTTTCAGTTTCGTCAGTGCCTCATTCCATGAATGCTAACTTTTTTCATCCTCATAGTTCCTAGGGTTGTCTCTGAATTTTCACCCAGTTGCCTACCAAGATGTTGTCTGTGTCTAATGCAGGGGATGGTGCAGGTCTGAATATCTTACTCACAGCTCACCTTTTTGGTGCCTTTGATCCGTGTTAGGAATTATCCACATCTTCTCTCTGGGCAGTATTCTACTTTCTTTTTATATTGACCCAATTATTTTACTTCTTTGGTGTGTCCTTTCTCCTAACACATACGGGTTCACTTTGAAACCTTGAAACCCACATTTACAAAAACATTTTCAATATGAAACATTGTTCCATGACTCATTACTGGAGTACCATCAACATTTACATTTCCAGACCACCCACTGCCCAGTGGTTTTCTTGGTCTCAGTACTCATGAAAACGGTCTGAAGGTTTGTTTTGGGTTCCTAAGTAGTAGACACACGCACAACACTGCCTGTCAGTTATTTCTTGGAAACTAAATCAGCCCTTCTGTTGCCATCCTATCATGCTTCAGGGGTGCCTGTGCTAGTTTTTAATTCTTTGTTCTAACACTTAAATGTTTGCTCAAACGCCCATATTAATACTTCCTCTTAGTTTACAAAAGGATTTACTTTCTTACTGGTTGGGATGAAGCTGCCTGAGGTTGCCACCTGTTATTTTTCCTTCATTTATTGGACCATGTCATCCCATTACATGTCAGCCGTGGAGGTTTTCAAACTGTGGTCCCTGGACATGTTAAAAATGCAAATTCTCAGGCCGAACCAGGACTGAATTGGAAGATCTGGGGTAGGGTCCCCCCAGGACTGAATCAGAAGATCTGGGAGGGTCTGGTGCTGTGCACCCCGACATTCCCTCACTACCCCACTGCCTCTCCCTGCCCTGTGGTCACCACAGCAGCCGCCTCTGCAACCTTGACTATCAGCATGCAGGTCCCAGGACTCGGGGGTCTCCTAACCCGTGCACCCCGACATCCCCCTCACTACCCCACCGCCTCTCCCTGGCTCTGCCTCTGCGTGGCTCCTCTCCTGCTGCCCCCAGAAGGTTTTTGTAAAGCCCGACTCAGGGCGTGCATGGCCTCTCCCTCTCCCACACATGGGCTCCCCGTCCCCTCCAGCTCAGCAAACACACAGCACATCCAGGAGCCACGTGGGACCGCAGTGTCCCATGGCCGGTCCCCCAGATCCCTTGGATGTCTCACTCTGGTGAGCCCCTCGCTCCAGTGCCCTCCAGGAAGCCCCCGTCTCCCCATACAGAAGGGATCTCTTCCCTCCTGAGCCATCGGTGCCCGACCCTCCCTCTCCTCTGTCGCCCCATTTGTGGCAGGTCAGCCACACCCGTGAGCCCCGGAGCTCTGTGAAGGCCGTCACGGCTCCTTATGACGGCGCCCAAACAGTGCAGGCAGCCGGAAGCTGTTCCCTGATGAAAGAAAGGAAGAGGAAAGGAGGAGGGAGGGAAGAAGGCCTTTTCTTGTCCCGAGAGACTTCTGTAGGAATTTTTGGGTGATACTGAGCATGGTAGACCCAGGTCATCTTTCCACGAGAGGGGCCAGAGTACCGCAGGCTCAGCCGCGGTCAGGGGCTCAGGGCGCCGGGGAAGCATTCGCGTGGGCTGCCCCCACGGGCCGCCTTTGCCACCAAGACCCACTCTTCCAGCCAGGCCTTGGGCCGGCCCTGCTTTCCCTTCGGACAAGGTCTTCAGTCCACCGAGAGGATGGCCCACCTCCTGCCCCTGGGTCAGTGCGCAGCCCCAGGGAGGAGCTGTGTGAACCTGGGAGGTGCTGGGGAGCAAGGGTGCTCCACCAAGGGAGGCAGGAGGCCGGAGACCAGCCCGGCCCAGGAGGAGCCTGGCCAGGAGTCCCACCAAAGCCACTGGACCCGGGGAGCCTCCAGTGACCCAGCCTTGTAGGGTCAGCACTGTCCCTAGGACAGAGTCTGCTTCGTACACAGGTCTCGCTGTCTGTGGAGGCTTCAGGCCCCGATGCCTGGGCACACGGACTGACGGCAACCCTCGGGGTGGGAGGCCCCAGATGGGACTTCCTGGCCTGCCCGGGGTGGCGGGGGGGCGGGTGGGAGAGGACGGAGCGTCTGTGTGCATGTGTGAGAGCCTCAAGGACGGCATGTCTGTGAAGATGGCTTCACCCAGCCGCGGCTGCCTTCCGTGTGTGGGCAGCGGTGACGGAGCCGTGACCTCACGGGACAGCCTTTGCCGTGTGGTTTTCCCGCCTCTGGTCCCTTTCCTGGGCTGAGGATCCTGGCTCTGGGGCTCAAGGTGTGGGGTTCGCCAGCACCGGCTCCTGCCATAGACATCCTGGTGGCCCTGGCACAGGCCTGTCCTCCAGCATGGTTCCTAGACCCACCACGCAGGACTCCTAGGCCCCTGAGGGTTGGCAGGAGTGAGGCAGGCAGTCACCAACTGCCCTTGGGTGAGGCTGGTGGCCAGGGGGGGACCCAGCAGGTGCAAGCCAGGCCATCCCCAGCAGCCGCCGGAGCCCATGTCTTTCCCACCGCACAGCACAGCCAGGACATGGGGGTCAGGCCATTACTTACGCTTCTAGTCCTTACATCACCCACAACTTACCCCTGACCTGTGCCTGGCTGTGGTGCCCGCAGCCTGGGCTCCACATAAACACAGGCCAAGAAGTCCCATCTGCAGCCTCCCACCGCAAAGGTTTCCGGCAGTCCGGGCTCCCCAGGCACCGGCTCTGCAGCCCCCACAGACAGAGAGACCCCTGTGTGAAGTCCGGGCTCCTCAGGCACTGGCCCTGCAGCCCCCACAGACAGAGAGACCTGTGTGTGAAGAATCCGTTTGAGGGACAGTGCTGACCCTCCAGGGCTGGGTCACGGAGGCTCCAGTGGCTTTGGTGGGACTCCTGGCCAGGCTCCTCCTGGACTGGGCCTGGGCTGGTCTCCGGCCTCCTGCCTCCCTTGGTGCAGGATCCTTGCTCCCCAGCTTCCCTGGGAAATCCGACGCCTTCTGATCCTGCATGCATCCGGCACCCCTGACGCTGGCGGAGTTGCCTTTCTGCGTGTATAGCTCCTAACAGGGCAGCACAGCTGTTCTGAAACCTCACACATCATCACTGGGGTGGCTGAGGCTGGGCCACCTGGTGTTCACCTCCTGACCCTGGAACTGTGCAGAGAACCTCTCTTCAAATAGGAGGCAGGTCTTTGTGGCTGTGTTTAAGTTAAAGATCTTGAGATAAGGAGGTCATTCTGGATTAACTCGTTGGCCCTACATGCACGGCAAGTGTCCTTACACAGAGGCAGAGGGAGGTTAGACGCAGACAGAGGAGGAGGTCGCCTGGAGACCGAGGCAGAGGTGCAGCATTGTGGCCGCGGCCCAGGGACGCCTGGAGCCACAGAAGCTGGTGGAGGTGGCAGGGTCCTCCCCTGGAGCCTCTGGAGGGAGCACGGCCCATGGACTCGATTTCAGACCCCTCCCTGCTGAGCGGGGAGAGAATGAGTCCCTGTTGTTTTGAGCTGCCGAGACTGTGGGGATCTGCCATGGCAGCTCCAGGACCCTCAGACCTTCGGCTCAGAGCCCCTCTAGCACTGAGCAAGACGACCACTCAGGGCCGCCCCTCCCCGCCCAGCCAGCATGTGCCTCGCTGCTCACCCGACCACGCAGCCCTCAGTTACAGATGCCTGCCCGGGATACGTGGGACGAGGGCTGCGGCTTCCCTGGGGACGGGGTGCGTGGAGCCTGCCTGCAGCCGTGTTCCTGTTTACGTGCTGAGTGAAGCTGGACCTGGGTGGGATGGGGCATTCTGCCCAAGGGTCTCTTGGGGGGTCCATGAGGACTGTGTTCTGACGATACTGCCCTCCTTCCTGAGGCTGCCGTGGGGCTCCATGGAGGCCATGGGGTGGTGAGGATGGAAGAACACCTAGGCTGGGCTCCTGGGACCCCAGCAGCAGCTGAAGGCACTTGGAGCACCACAATTCCCACCCACGGGCCAGGCAAGCCCAGAACCGTCCCCAAAGAAGGGAGCAAGGAGACACGGCCTTTTAGTGATAATATCATAACCAAAAAGTTCTTTAACATTTTTTCATTTTTTTCTGTCACTCAATATTTTTAAAATTATATGTCCATTTTTTTTATTATTTCACCCATCTAATCATTGCCATCTATACCAAACAAAAAAATCTATGCACCGGTGTTCACAAAGCATTTAAGATGCCTGTGAAATGTAATAAGAACTAACTGCAGCTGCACAATATTCCCTCGTATGTATGTTATCACCATGCTGACGCTGGGCACTCAGAGCATTTAAAGGTTTTTATTATAATG